>NC_000004.12:80891077-81042593 GCF_000001405.40 Homo sapiens
GTCAATTTTGGCTTTGGTTGCCATTGCTTTTGGTGTTTTGGACATGAAGTCCTTGCCCACGCCTATGTCCTGAATGGTAATGCCTAGGTTTTCTTCTAGGGTTTTTATGGTTTTAGGTCTAACGTTTAAATCTTTAATCCATCTTGAATTGATTTTTGTATAAGGTGTAAGGAAGGGATCCAGTTTCAGCTTTCTACATATGGCTAGCCAGTTTTCCCAGCACCATTTATTAAATAGGGAATCCTTTCCCCATTGCTTGTTTTTCTCAGGTTTGTCAAAGATCAACCCAAATGTCCAACAATGATAGACTGGATTAAGAAAATGTGGCACATATACACCATGGAATACTATGCAGCCATAAAAAATGATGAGTTCATGTCCTTTGTAGGGACATGGATGAAATTGGAATCCATCATTCTCAGTAAACTATCGCAAGAACAAAAAACCAAACACCGCATATTCTCACTCATAGGTGGGAATTGAACAATGAGATCACTTGGACACAGGAAGGGGAATATCACACTCTGGGGACTGTGGTGGGGTCGGGGGAGGGGGGAGGGATAGCATTGGGAGATATACCTAATGCTAGATGACACGTTAGTGGGTGCAGCGCACCAGCATGGCACATGTATACATATGTAACTAACCTGCACAATGTGCACATGTACCCTAAAACTTAGAGTATAATAAAAAAAAAAATTAAAAAAAAAATAAAAAAAAAAATAAAAGCTTTGAGAAGCCCTAGATTAAAGGAAAAAAAAAAAAAAAAAAAGAAATTGCAGAGATCACAAAAAAGTGGAAAAATATTTTATGTTCATGATTGGAAGATAAATATTATTAAAATATCCATACTACCCAAAGCAATCTACAGAATCAATGCAATCCTTTTCAAAATACCAATGCCATTCTTCACAGGAATAGAAAAATAATCCTAAAGTTTATATGGAATGACAAAAGACCCAGAATAGCCAAAGCTATCCTGAGTCAAAAGAACAAAACTAAAGAAATCACATTATCTGACTTCAAATTATGCCACAGAGCTGTAATAACTGAAAGAACATGGTACTGGCATAAAAACAAACATATAGACCAGTGAGACAGAATAGAGAACCCGGAGACAAATCCCCACACCTACAGGGAACTCATTTTCCACCGTGGTGCCAAAAACATACACCAGGGAAAAGGCAGTCTGTTGAATAAATGGTGCTGGGAAAAGTAGATATCCATATCCAAAAAAGAAACTAGATTCTTATCTCTCACTGTATACAAAAACCAAATCAAAATTGATTAAAAACTTAAATCTAAGACCTCAAACTATGAAACTACTATGAGAAAACATTGGGGAATCTCTCCAGGACATTGGTCTGGGCAAAAATTTCTTGAGTAATACCCCACAAGCACAGGCAACCAAAACAAAAATGGACAAGTGGGATCACATTAAGTTATAAAGTTTCTGCACAGCAAAGTAAACAATCAACAAAGTGAAGTATGAGTCAACATATGCAAATTAGTAAATGTGATGCACCATTTTCACACAATGAAGAATAAAAATTGTATGATTATCTCAGTAAATAAAAAAGGCATTTAATAAAAATCAATATATTTCAATGATATAAAAACTCTGAACAGATTAGGTATAGAAGGAATATATCTCAACATAATAAAGGCATGATATGACAAGCTCATAGCTAATATATTCGATGGCGAAAAACCGAAAGCTTTTCCTCCAAGATAAGTATTAAGACAAGAATGCTCACTCACAGCGCTTCTACTCAATATAGTACTGAAAATTCATGCCAGGGCTTTTGGACAAGATGAAGAAATTAAAGGCTTCCAAATCAGAAAGGAAGAGGTATGACTATCTCTATTTGCAGATGACATAATCTTATATGTAGAAAATTCTAAAGATTCCATCGAGAAAATTAATGTTAGAGCAAATAAATGAAATCAATTCAGTAAAATAGGATCAAAAATCAACATATAAAAAACAGATGCATTATATCCACTAACAACAAACTATCTAAAGAAGAAATTTAAGAAAAAGCCCAATTTATAGTAGCATCAAAAATAAAATAAAATGCTTAGGAATGAATTTAACCAAAGATGTGAAAAAACTATACACTGAAAATTATGAAACATTGATGAAAGAAATTGAAGGCACAAGCAGATGAAGGCATCCCATGTTTATGGATTGAAAAAAATAACATTATTAAAATGTTTATACTTCCTAAATAATCTACAGAATCATTGCAATATCCTCATTCCAATAATATTTTTCACAGATAGTAAACAAAATCCTAAAATTCATACAGAACTATGAAAAACGTCAAATACCCAAAGCAACCTTGAGCAAGAGGAGCAAAATTGTAGGCATTACACTGAGTGATTTCAAAATATAAAGCTTAGTAATCAGAACAGTATGATGCTAGCATAAAAACAGACATATAGACCAATGGAACAGAATAGAGAACACAGAAATATATACATATTTTTGATCAATTGATCTTCAACAAATGTATCAAGAACACAATGTGGAAAGGATGGTCTCTTCAATAAATGATACTAGAAAAACTAAATGAATACATGCAAAAAAAAAAAGAAATTGGACCCTTATCTTGCAATGTATATAAAAATAAACAAAATAGATTAAAGATGTAGACATAAAACCTGAAAATGTAGAACCGCTAGGAGATGACATAGGGAAAAAGCTTCTGTACATTGGTCTGGGCAACGATTTTTTAGATATGAACCAGCAAGCACAGGCAACAAAAGCAAAAATGACAAATGGAATTGCATCTAACAAAAGCTTCTGCATAGCAAACGAAACAATCAGCAGAATAAAGACACAATCTATGAAATGGGAGAAAATATTTGCAAACCACACATCTGATAAGGGATTAATATCCAAAATATATAAGAAACACAAGCAACTCAGCAGCAAGAAAACAAATAACCCAATTAAAAAAAAATGGTTGAAAGACCTAACCAAACGTTTCTCAAAAGAAGACGTACATATGGCCTACAGATATATGAAAAGGTGCCCAACCTCACTAATCATGAAAAATATGAAAATCAAAATCACAATAAAATATCACCTCACACTTGTTAGAATGGGCATTATTAAAAAGACAAAAGATTTTTCTTTACAGGGATGTAAAAAAAAAGAGAATCTTTGTACATTATGAAGGCTAAACCTAGAGTCAGTTTCTTTGTTCCCCCCAGAGATGTTGTGAATTATTTATATGCTTATTAAATACCTCTGTGCTTAAACCAACTTCAGTAGACCACGTTGTCTACAATTAAGGATCCTAACCAGTACATCTAATAATTTGTGTGTTTATTTTATGTACCAGAATATAAGCATTCCAAGAGAAGTTAACCATTACTGCCAATTGCTGAAGTCCCAGTGTGAGGCACAGCTTAGCCCAGAGTAGGTAGATGCTAATATATAGTTATCGAATATCATAACATAAAGTTTTAAACAGCTTTACTCTTTTGTGCAATATTGGTGGGAATATGAATTGGTACAGCCATTATGAAAAATATTGTGGAGATTCCTTAAAAAATTTAAAAAATCTAACTACTATGTGATCCAACAATTCGACTTCTGCATATATATTTAAAAAAATGTAACCACTATCTCAAATATTTGAACTCCTATGTTCATTGCAGAATTATTCACAGTTTCTAAGGTACAGATATGTGTGTGAGTGTGTGTGTGAGAGAGAGAGCTATATAATGGAATATTATTCAGCCTTGAAAAAGAAGAAAACACTATTATTTTTGTGGATGATGTGGAGGACATAATGCTAAGTGAAATAAGCTAGACACAGGAAGAAAAATACTGTATGGTCCCACTTTATATGTGGAATCTAAAAAAATCTCACTCACAGAACCAGGAAGTAGAAGAGTGGTTGACATTAAGGGAGTTCAGGGGCAATGGAAATGGGGAAATACTGGTCAAATTGGACAAAGTTTCAGTTATGCAGGATGAATAAATTCTGGAGATTAAATGAACAGCAAAGTGAATAGTTAACAATACCCTATTATATACTTGAAATTTGCTCAGATAATAGCTCTTAAATGTTCTCACCACACACACACACACACACACACACACACTAGTAACTATGTGAAATGATGGCTATGTTAATTAGCCTGATTGTGGCAATCATTTCACGTGTATACATATATCAAAACATCACTCTGTAAATCTTAAATATATGCAATTTTTATTTGTCATTTATGCCTCAAAAACTAAAATGAGTTATTGCTTTGTTTCTTCAACTCATATTAATTTGAACCACTTTAAAGGCATTTGGGTGAAATACTTTGTAGAATTTGGTTAATCAACCTTTAGTAAATAAGCACAAGATTAGAAATGTCAATAGGCTTGAAAAGTCAGGTTATTTGTTTTCTGAATATATGCCTTTACATTTTTTCACAAATATATGTTTTGTCTTCATTAGTTTGCAGAAAATATATATATAATTTGAAGGATGCAGAGCTAGATAATGTTTGATGTTTTTCTATATTCAAATTCCTCTGACTACTCCCTCAATAAAAATGTGTACCAATGATAACTGTCCCAAAGAGATTTCAATCCCTCCTTCTGTCAAAGCTATATAGGAGCAGCCCATTCATCTAAAGATTAAAATGAGCTACTTAGCTCATCTGGGAAGCAGCTGTGCAGAACTGTGGAAGGCAGTGGTAAGGAAAAACTACTATTAGGTAAACAAAGCAACAGAAAGATGGTGAAAAGGGTAAAGGAATAAGAAATTAGAATTCATTCAAACAAAACTCACTCGGATGAATGAGGAAGAAGGTTTTTTCCCGCCAACTCAGTAAATGTTTAATCTGGAAAAGCATGCTTCCACATCTGGCTTATGTTTAATATTGTAAATATAACTTCTTTCATTTTTAATTTTATTTTTGATGTGAATTTTAGTTTATGAACAAAAGTAAAATAAAAATCAGTGGAGAGACATTGTATTTAATGTTACAAATATTAAATATTTCAAATAAAATATTCAGAATACAAAATAGTACATGCTCTCTTACATGTGCTTACCACAGTCTCTAATGAAAACTGAAAACATTAGCAATATTAGGTATTTATACTGTTTGAATTTGAATCACCTAATATATGAAATAATATTTTAAAAATACCAAAATATCCAGAATGGTTATTTTGTAATACACATGTAATACACATAATTTTCAAAGTGGATACAATTTATTAAAAAGGAAAGTAAAAGGAAAAAATGAGTAAACGGATTTGTTTACATATATTTGTTTGAGGGCAGTATTGTAATGTTTTATAGGCAGGAATGAACTAGTTTCAAAGTGAATTAGTCCTCTATTTTCTGAGGAACTACTCTGAAAGAGCTTTCTACTCTTCAGATCAGACACACAAATTAACATGTGGCTTCTGTGGGCTTACTGGCCCTCTTTTCAAGGCTTGAAAAAGTCAAATCATATGTAACACAAGTAAATCCACAAAAAGAAGATAAATGGAGTAAATTGGAAGTCTAATTACCTGGAAGGAGAAATAGATGAAATTGAATGATAGTTTTTCTCTGCTTCCATATGTAATAATAAAGGCAATGACTTACATTTTGTAGTTTATAACACATTTACACAACCAAGCATTATGTCAATTTAATATATTCCTTCACTGACAGATTTTATTTCACCTAGTGCTTATAACACAATGGCTCAAAATATTATCTGTTATTCTAGAAGTGCTATAATAATGTATCTGCATTAAGGTGTGATTAATCAATCATACCTTGCTGCTATAATAATTTATTATAAGGGCTATATTAATGCATCTGATTAAGGTGTGATTAATCAATCATTTGAGGGAAGTACGGGAAAGACTGCTGTAAGAAAATAATTCAGTTTATCTTTGAAAAATGAATAGGAATTCACCCAAGAGAAAAGTGAAGGGCACGGCATTACAAATATCAGCAGAAAAATGAAAAAGGCATGGCAAATTTTAGGAACAGTGAGAAGCTGCTACCTATTCAGTAATCTTAACCTTCTGGATATATTCTAGAACCAAGCTGAAATGGAATATAAGACACATAGAAAAACAGCAAGGTGTACTACTGGAAGTTCTTTATAGGGTATTCCAGAGCAGTTTTCATCATTGTACAAGAGATTAAACATTTCTAAAACTTTATGTTATGAAATTCAGTAATTATATATTAGGCATCTACTCTGAGCTAAGCTGTGCCTGGCATTGGGAATTCAGCAATTGACAGGAATGGTTAGCTTCTCTTGGAATGCTTATATTCTGATAGATAAAATAAACACACAAACTATTAGATGTACTGGTCTGGATCCTTTAATTGCAGACAACAGAGTCTGTTGAAGCTGGTTTAAGCATGGAGGAATTTAATAAGCATATAAGTAGTTCACAACATCACTGGGAGGACTGAAGAAACAGATTCTAGGTTTAGCTTTCATAATAACTCTTAAAGCCATGCTGAAGAACTGAGGTGGCAAAAAAGCTGCAGCCTCTACCACAATCAGAAAACTGCATAACCACGAAGCTCCTACCACTGTGGACAGCTCCAGAAACATGTTTCTGCAAGTCAGGAACCACAATATCAAGAATCTTCTGCCACACCTGACATCTCTAGAGCTATGCCTTTTCTGTATAATCTATTTGAGCACAGTTGTTTCCTTATGCCCTGTGTCTTTCCCCACATAACTTAGTTTCACATTGATTTCCCCTGTGAGAGCTTCTGATTAGAGAAAACTAAATTGAAACAGGGTATTTCCCTGACCTCTTCACGGGCCTCACAACAGGGGTGCCTCAGTTACTCAGCCTGCGGCACTCAACCCCTTGCAGGAGGGAGCATGCAGGTGAGTCGGTGCAGGAGCCAGGGCAAGTGCTTTTGGGCACTGGCAGGAGCAAACTCCATGTGGGGCCTCATGACAGTGTCCAGTGGGGTGCCCAGAACCCCTGAAGCTCCAGAGGAAGTGTTACAGTAAGGGCTCTTTTAGCTCTGCCATCTGTGGATGGTTTAAGTGTTAACAGCTCAGTGGGCCCTCTTATATCCACACTCATTGCTCGAGCTCTTGACCAGTGACCAAGAAAAATGAGGTCACATGAACAAATTAGAGGTGGTAAATGTGGGGGATTTTATTACCAATGAAAGTTGGTTTCAGCAGGATGGGGAGTTGAAAAGGGGATGGGGCAGGATGGCAATCCTCCCCCAAAGTCTGGCTATCCCCAGCCAGACTCCTCTCCAAAGCTACACCTTTAAGCTGTTTCTCTGAACTCAAGCTGCTTCTCTCTAACATCCAAACTTAGTCTCTAATATCCAGCTGCTTCTCCTTCCTCTGCCAGCTGAACCTGGGGTTTTTATGGGCACTGGATGTGGGGGGTGGGATGGGCTATGGGTGGTTTTGGAAAAGGCAACATTTAAGTAGGAAAACAGGGATGCAAGTTCTCATTTTGGGCCATGATATCAGGCTTTTCGGCTTGAGGGTGGGTCCCTAGCTGGGGACCCACCCTCTTCTTCCCAGAATTTTCCTGTCTCCTGTTGCTATCAAAATTACATGGGAAAACCCAGCTGTAAGATAATCTGAGAAAATTAGATTTTAATCCTTCTACCTCTGTAATCCAGGAAGGCATACCATAAAGGAATTTGAGTGGGTATGGAGCAAAACAATCCATGGACTATGATGATAGTGATGAGTAAATTAAATGACTTAAACAATTTTTTAGGTAATTTCCAGGAAATAAAAGGAAGCCAATACTGAGAGTAAGCAGGCAGGAGCTACTTTAGACAAAATAATCAAGAACAGCTTCTCTAAAGAGGTAAAATTTAGGCTGATTCCCAAAATATAAGGGCTTGCTAACTTCCAATGCAAAGAATAAGGAAAAGATTATTTTAGGTAAAGATCTCTATCATACAGCTAAACAGCAAGATGTCTGGAGCCAAACTGGATTTAACAGTCTCTGCCCCTTGCTTGATGATCTTGGGCAAGTTACTCAAACTCTCTCACACTTGTGTATAACATGAGCTTTATAATAACACCTATATGGAAGGCTACTGTGAAGATTTTATGAGATAATATATGTAGAACACTTAGAACAGTCACTGGCACATAGCATATGCAAGTAAAAATTCTTCTATTATCATGAACATTTCCGACTCTTAAATTTGAGTTATCTATGAGATGTAGCTAGATATGAGAGGTCTGTAGATACAAGCCTGAAAGTATTCAACATAAAGTTAGTGCTTAAATCCTTGGGAAAGAATGCAACCAACTAGAGTAGAGAAGAGATGAGATGTAATGTGAAAACAGCCAATTTTATATGTTGGGAAGAGGAAAAGAACCCAGAAAATGAATCTGAGAAGGAAGGTACAGCAGCATAAAAGGAAACGTAGAGCACAATCTTATCATGGGACTCAAGAGAAAAAAAGTCTTTCAATAACAAAGAAGTGGCCACCTGTTGACTAAAATGAGCATGAAAGGCAAGGACAGACCAAGTGAACTTGAGAGAGGTGCTTTTAAACTAGGCATGTCAGAGATTTCAGTCCTCCTAGGGAATAAAAGAGAATGTAGAAGTCTGACAAGAGCAGCCACAGATTGTACAGAAATACACGGTGGTAAAAAATGCAAACTCTGGCATCAGTCAGCTTGGGTTCAAATCCTGGCTCTGCTTCAGCTACATTGGGCAAGTTACCTGGCTTACTCTCTCTGCCTCATTTGTCCCACCAGTAAAATGGAGTTAATAATACCTGCCTCAAAGGGTTGTTGTGAGAACAGAATGAGCTCATAAATGCAAATTCATTGGAAATGTTTAAGAAGAGATGAACATTAAGAAATGCCCATTGTGTCTGGAAATAGGTAAAACATTGGTGACTTTATAAGAACAGTTTCAGTCAAGAGGTGGTGGTAACGGGTCAGAGAAAAACCCTATTGTAGTAGGTTGAAAGGTGACTTGGAGGTGGAGGAAAAATAGCATGAGTAGATAACTAAAAGTTTGACAAGAAAATAAATGACATAAAAGTGGAAGAAAGTGTGTGTGTGTGTGTGTGTGTGTGTGTGTGTGTGTGTCTGAGAGAGTAGAAGGGAACAGTAGTCTATAACGGAAATGTGATATGAGAACTAAGAAAGAGGTTTATAGGATAGGATGCATAGGAGCACAAGGAAAGTGAAAGGCATTTACATAATTCTATCCAATAGCATTCTAAATCAACTCTTTTATGTTTCTCTCTTATTATTTTATGTTTTGTAACTATACAAAGAATACAACAGAAATAATATTAACATAGCAATATTCTTGTCTGATTGTATATCTCATGTTTAAAGAACGTGGGGAAAATATCAGACATGCCAGCATGTGTTAAAGCAAATAATTTGTCAAGACTAAGATCTAATTTATCAGTTTAGTTTCTCAGTAACTGGATTAATACGTATCATCTAAATAAATCTGTTGCTAGGATGACTGTATTTTAATCTGTTGTAGGTAAAATATGTTCAATAAGAAAATTAAGAAGGGGTTGCTTCTTTCAAATAAAAGAGTGGAAAAGCCCTAGAAGAAAAGGCTAAAAGTAATAAGAAGCAAAGTTTGATAATTCAAATTTATATGGCAGTATTCTCTGGAAGAAAATACAATTTAGTAGGATTCAATAAATAGTTATTTTAAATAATAATAATAATAATAAACAGGGCTGGGATTTGAAATCAATCAAAATTTTTTTCTAATTAGACAAGTTTGTTGACCTCTATGTCCTTTTGTTTCTGCATTTTATAAAAATTAATAATAATATATACCTTAGTTTGTTATTCTGAGGATCAATATGGTATTGCATAAAAACCAACCCACAGTAGATGCTTAGTATTTTAAAGCACTGCTAATCATTTTACTAAGTAACTACCATTTAGTCATGAAGTCAATTAAAAAGGGTTTGCAATAAAAAAGCTAGGAAGATGAGTAAAAAAGGAATTTTTACAGCATAACTCATCACCATAGTAAACAATGGTATACAGAGAGCAATGAGAGCAATGTTGCCTGTTGAGGCTGGACTCTCCCTAAGTGCATGAAGCAAGGTGCACAGGCGTTATGGAGGGCAAAAAAAATATACCTATCACAATCTGAAATGTAATTTTAGTTACAGAATCTATTCCTGTAGCATATGACTAGAACACGCATGTGCACATACACCTATTACATATTAAGCTATTTTAATTTTCAAAATCCATTACTGTATCAACAGGATTGTTTTTCTAGCAGCTCCCAGGATCTGCTAGAGACATCTTCTTTGGGCAGATCATCCAAGAAGCAGTGTAGTTATGCAATGGGTGTTTTTTGAAACATTCTGGCTCCTTCTGTGGGTAAAACTGAGCATAAGTTATTTTCTCTCATGTCATCCAAAGTAGCAAACATTATTTTAAAAATATATTTGCTGTTACTTTGCCACTTTTAAGATGCTTCGTGACCCTTAGGAATTGCCACAGGTGTATAAGAGCCTGTTTTATTTACTTGTAGTTTTAAAACCAGCCACAATTGGGTCTCCATGCCAATGTTTCTTCTTATTCCACTGTCTAGAATAACAGACTTCAAGACTACATATTTAATCATTATTGATGCTTTATCCTTTGGCCCCAATCACTGCCAGCAATTGGTTCAATCACTTCATTTCTTTCATATATGGTTACCTACTTTAGTTTTGAATATGACTAGAGACTTATTAAGCCTAAAATTTCCAAACAGAACTCTAAATTAAATCTCTTAAAGTTTTAGAACAGTTTTCATTTTTCCTTCTCAAGGATTACCAGCTGAGTTTTTCCCCGTCCTCCTAACTCAGCCAACTAACACTTGACTTAGGCTAAAGTTTGTTTCTCTCTCTGTCCTCTGATCTTGCCATTTCTAAAATTATATACTTTTGTGTGTATATATTTATATGGCATTGTGAAAAACAGTTCAGCCTTCAAGAGTGGCACTTTCAAATAACAAAACTGTGATATTTTCCAGCTGGGTCAGGTGCCTTCCTCTTTCTCACTGAAGGATGTTCTGAAGTTACATTTCTTCTATGAGAAAAATCTGAACATTTTTCCTATTAATTAATAGGTAGAATGTATAATTAAGAGCCCTTTCCTTCTCTGGGTCCAGGATGAAAATAAAGTCTATCCTGAACATCTATATGTTAACAGCAAATCTGTGGCACAGAATGGCTCCTGTTTCTTTATATCATTATTTTATCCATATATATATGGATTATTATTTTATCCATATATATGGATATATATGGATAAAATATAGATTATATATTTTATAAATATATGAAATATACTTTATATAAATATATAATATGTTTATATATGTAAGTATATATGGATATACATATATACATATATGTATATATGTATATATGTATATATACATATATATGGATATATATCCATATGTATGGATACAAATATATATTTTATCCATATGTATCTGGATTATTATTTTATCCATATATATGTAATATATACACACACACACACACACACACACACACACACACACACACTTTGGTGACTCCCTAGTTGGGGCTATAGTATATCATCAACCTTTGGTAAAGAAGAGATAGTTGGTTTGCTAACCACATAAGAAATTGTTTCAAGATAACATCATTTTTTTATAAATGCAGACTTCTTCAGGCAACTTTTAAAGACTTTGATAAACTATTTTTTACCTCCAATTGGTTTTATAACTGTTCCAATCAGAGAATAAATTATCTTTGCAGAATAAAATATATAGGACATTATGTTAGTGTTTTATTGAGTCTTGTACATATATATATATACAAACAAATCATAAGTAAATTTCCATTACTGTTGTGCTGCAAAGAAATTGAGACTATTGACATATTTTAGTATAATTTCTTATAAAGTGTTACTATATAACCAAGAAATTATAATTTGCTAGATTCTTAGAAATCTTCAATCAAAGTAAGCCTTGTAAATGGATTTACTGGCAAAGACCTAGATCTTTGGTGAGATAATATTGAAAACTTTCCTACCTTTTTGGATAGGGAGACTATGGAGTGTTACAAAGCATCTTTTATTTTGATGACTGTTGCTGCACTGGGCCACTCTGACCTCAGAAGCTGAATCACATGTCTGCCTGGAAATGAGCTGTTGTTCTTACCCATATCATTAGATGGTCTCAGGAGAGATTTTTCCTGTTGGCTCAAAAAGAGCCTAAAATTCCAGATAAATTGGGGAAGGATAAAGGGAAAGGTTTACATCTATTTATTATCAAGAAAAACAAATTTCTAGTTCTTTCTCAGTTACATAAAAGAAAATTGAAATCTGAAAAAAATTTTAATATTATTTTTGCTATAATATTATTTTGTTCTAATTATAAAGACAACCTCTATTGAAGACAATCCAGAAAGGGAAAAAAACTATAAAAACATTAAAGTCACCCATAACTTTACCACCCTAAGATATTACTATTATTATTTGGATTTTTGTCCTACTAGTATTCCTTTATTTAGGGAGATATATATTGGCAATATGAAAATTCATATCAATATAAGGACAAATACAGATATAGATAAATACATAGATGATAATATTTTTTTCAAAACTTGAATTATTCTTTCAACTGCTATAAGAAAGTCCTTCAAAGATATATCTGAGAGGTAGCTAGCTCTCAGTCTATTCAATGGAACACATTAATTAATATTGATTAGCTGTAACATATGCAGTAATGTAACACATAGTCTCTCAAGAGACTTTTATTATTTCCCTCATTTACATAGGGATTCATAGAAAAATAAAGTTAAAGTCATACTTGGTCAGGAGCATAGAGAAGGGTTTTCTAAACTTCCTCAAGACATATGCACTTAATAGAAAATATATAATTTTTTATTTGAGGACACACTTTAATGACATAAAGTCATTTTGAAATAATTCTTTTAATGTTCCTGTGTGTCTTAGACCCTATATAGAGCAGTAAATATGAAGTGCAATTAGCTGATTATCTAAGGATTTAAATAGAAGGTTTTCCAGTTGTGAGTGTATTATTTTTGGAAATGTTACATGCATAGCCCTCTGCCAGGTGTGATGTTCAGTGTTAATGGGATTAATCCTCACATTAACCGTATTAGAGGGATTAACATTTTTGGTCTGGAGAACACTGGATTAAAGCAGTGCTTCCTTAAAATGGTTCCAGAGTCAAATAAGATTGGGAATAGTTTCAACTCTTCTTAGAAACTGGGAGTGCATATGAGCAAGTCAATGCGTGAGGCTTCCTGCAGTAGAAATACCTACCTCTCTCTCTCCACCCCAGGTCCTAGTCAGATTGGCAGTTGGGAACCTTTTGCTTGGGTTCTATGGGGAACCCTTTTTAACAAGGCCTAAATTAGATAATCTCAACTTTTTTTCATATCCTAGCAAAAGGAATGTTCTTTTCCTCTTTATTTTTTTTTCAAAGGACATTTCCTTGGGACTTGACTTTTTTCTTGATTAATATGGTAAGATCTGGAGGGACTGATATTAGAGTTAGGCCCTAAAAAAAGAGACAAGGAAGATGTTCAGCATGTTTCTTATAGGCTGTAGGTCAACCAGCTTCAAGGAAGACAATCCTTGGTGTTTTCTCATGGTTCAGCCTAGCTTTGAAGGGAATGCAATGGGATTTGGAACAAAAGCCTAACAATTCAAAATGATGTATATTTACATATTAGTGAGAAGGGTGGAACCTTCCAATGTTTGGTCAAACTGGTATTTCTTCTCCAGGAAACTCTGAGATGTATGTCATAAGCAGCAAACATGTGTCCTAAGTCTTTGTCACAGGCAAGAAAATGCACATGCTTAATATGACAGAAAAAAATTATAATTTAGAATATGAATAAAAAGTGGTTTTATACCATGGTAAGCTTACATGCAAATATCCAGCCTTATGATACTTAAAAGTATGTGTGAAATATGGATGAAATTTTATGTGAGTAAATTTTGTAATAAAAACATAATTCAAATTCTTATAAGTTAAAATAGAACCTATCCTTTTTAGGTTGAAGGGCCTCATTTATTGAATTTGGAAAAAACTGGAAAAGCTTAGTTAAATTAATAAAATGAATACTCTTCTGCTGCAATTAAAAATCTATGCTTTACTTTACAGTCAAATATTATCATTTCAACCATTTGACCACTCCAGTCCATCAAGTTAATGGTCAATATGTTTGAATCTGGTCCACTTAGTGATAGAAGACCAGAAACACAACCAGCTGTTAGACTACGCTTACTAGTGAGTTTGACCATAAACATGGACTGTCTTCTGATTCCTTTTCCTCAACGTAGACTACAGGGCTGATTTCCATTGTGCCTTCTAATCATTAAAATATATTGTAATCAGGAAATTGATATTTTTTTTAAAAAAGACTAGAATTCTCAAGACTTGCATACACACAGCAGTAATATTCTTAGTGCTTGTATTAGTCAGTTTTCACACTGATATAAAGAACTGCCCAAGACAGGGTAATTTATAAAGGAAGGATGTTTAATTGACTCACAGTTCCACAGGGTTGGGGAGGCCTCAGGAAACTTACAAACTTGGTGGAAGGGGAAGCAAACATGTCCTTCTTCACATGGCAGCAGTAAGAAGAAGTGCAGAGCAAAGGGGAAAAAGCCACTTATAAAATCATCAGATCTCGTGAGAACTCGTTATCACAAGAACAGCATGGGGATAACTGCCCCCATGATTTAATTACCTCCCACTGAGCTCCTCCCATGACGTGGGGATTATGGGAACTACAATTCAAGATGATATTTGGGTGGTGGTACAGCCAAATCACATCATTCCACCCTTGGCCCCTTCCAAATCTCATGTTCTCACATTTCAAAACACAATCATGCCTTTCCAATAGTCCCTGAAAGTCTTAGCACATTCTAGCATTAAACCAAATGTCCAAGTCCAAAGTCTCATCTGAGATAAGGCAAGGCCCTTCCACCTATGAGCTTGTAAAATCAAAAGCAAGTTAGTTACTTCCTAGATACAATGGGGGTACAAGCATTAGTTAAATATACCCATTCCATATGGAAGAAATTAGCCAAAATGAAGGGGCTATAGGCCCCATGCAGCCCAAAATCCAATAGGGCAGTCATTAAAATTTAAAGTTCCAAAATGATCTCCTTTGACTCCATGTCTCACACCCATGTCATGCTGATGGAAGAGGTAGGCTCCCACAGCCTTAGGCAGATCCACCCCTGTGGCTTTGCAGGGTACAGCCCCGCTCCTGGCTGCTTTCATGGGTTAGCATTGAGTGTCTGCAGTTTTTCCAGGTGCATGGTGCAAGCTGCCAGTGAATCTACGATTCTGGGGCCTGGAGGATGGTGGCCCTCTTCTCACAGCTCCACTAGGCAGTGCCCTTATGTGTGGGAATTCCAACTCCACATGTGTCTTCCACATTGTCCTAGCAGTTGTTCCCCTTGAGGGCTGTGCCCTGCAGCAGTCTTCTGCCTGGACATCCAGGTATTTCAATATGTCCTCTAAAATCTAGGTGGACATTCCCAAACCTCAATTCTTGTCTTCTGCACACCTGCAGGACCATCACTGTGTGGAAGCCACCAAGGGTTGGGGCTTGCACCTTCTTTGGCAATGGCCCAGGCTGTACCTTGACCCCTTTTAGCCATGGCTGGAACTGAATCAGCTGGGACACAGAGCACCATGTCTCAAGGCTCCATAGAACAGGGGACCCTGGGCCTTATCCACAAGGCCATTTTTCCCTCCTAGTCCTCCAGAACTGTGATGGGAGGGGCTGCAGTGAAGGTCTCTGACATGCCCTGGAGACATTTTCCCCATTGTCTTGGTAATTAACATTTGGCTCTTCATTACTTATGTAAATTTCTGCAGCTGGCTTGAATTTCTCTCCAAAAAATGGGCTTTTCTTTACTACCACATTGTCAGGCTACAAATTTTTCCAACTGTCATGCTCTGCTTCCTCTTGAACACTTTGCTGCTTAGAAATTTCTTCTGCCAGATACCCTAAATCATTTCCCTCAAGTTCAAAGTCCCACAGACCTCTAGGGCAGGGTCAAAATGCTACCTTTAGCTCATTGCTAAAGCATAATAATAGTCACCTTTGCTTCAGTTCCCAACAAGTTTCTCATCTTCATCTGCATCTGAGACCAACTCAGCCTAGACTTCATTGTCCATATCACTATCAGCATTTTGGTCAAAACCATTCAACAAGTCTCCAGGCAGTTGCAAACTTTCCACATTTTCCTGTCATCTTCTGAGCCCTCCAAACTGTTCCAACCTCTGCATGTCACATAGTTCCAAAGTCACTTCCACATTTTTGGATATCTTTATAGCAGCACCCCACTCCCCGTACCAATTTACTATATTAGTCCATTCTCACACTGCTATAAAGAACTTCCTGAGACTGGGTGATTTATAAAGGATAGGGTTTTAGTTGATTGACAGTCCTGCAGGGCTGAGGAGGCCTCAGGAAACTTACAATCATGGCAGAAGGGGAAGCATGCACATCCTTCTTCACATGGCAGCAGGAAGGAGAATTGCAGAGTGAAGGAGGAAAAGCCCTTTATAAAACCATTAAGTCTTGTGAGAACTCACTTACTATCACAAGAACAGCATGTGGGTAACTGCCCCATGATGCAATTACCTCCTATCGGGTCCCTCTCACAACACGTGGGGATTATGGGAACTACAATTCAAGGTGAGATTTGGATTGGGATACAGCCAAACTTTGTCAGTTCTCGAAAGAAATTTCCTGACAGTGTTTTTATTATGAATCTCCCTTACCCAGAATGGTATGGAAAAAAACATTGAGTTCACCAAGAGCAACCTGCCAGAAAGCTTAAGGGCCTCCATCACATTCCCTTCTTTGGATGGAAGAACAGTTCTGTTAGTTTCACACTGGCTTTGCATGCAGAGTTTCACTGTGGCGAAGGGCTCGTCCATAACATTTTTCATCATTCTTTTCAACCTGAGATTAACAAGCAAGTGCAAAGTGATTTCAGACTTTGCTCAGGGAACCTGAAGTGTCTTGTTCATAGGCGTCTGAATTTTTCAACTCTCATAAATTCTTCTACTGATATCCCAATGGTCCAAAACATTTAGTAAGTTAGAGCGTGTGTAATGCACTGTGGTGTTGGAGTTGACACTGCATCTGTATACAATAACAACTTGACTTCAGGTAGTGCATAAATCCTGTGGGTTACATTTATCAGAGCTGTAAAAATAGCCACAGAATACAAAGTCTGTAACACTTAATTTATTTTGCTGATTGGATGTCCCACAGAGTTTAAACTTTAAACATATTTTCTTCTTACTTTGTTTTGTTCTTCCCCATTCTTTAACAGTTTGAGAATATTGATTTAGCATGACATTCCTACCTCCTTAAGTAACAAAGTTTGGAAAAAATTAGTGGAGAGGTGTTCCGAAATAGAGTTGCTCACATGCCAGAATTTTACTCTTACATACTCTGATTTGGTGATGTACCTGCCCGTACACATTAGTGTCACCAGAAAACATTTCCTTCACTCTGTTTCTCATTATATCTCAGATCAAAATGTTCTTTAGACATAAATGTGCAAACCAAATTGCCTTATTGTTATTGGTGAACCACACCTCAGGTAATACTGCTAAGTTCATTCAATTGTTAATAGATATAAATATTTGCTAAAGCAGATTACAAGATTGTTAATGTTAAAGTGAGTGCAAATGCTCAGTTCTCTCATCACCACCTTACTGTTGTGCTTGATGTATACCTAAAACACAACTCTGGATTTAATCCAAATGTTTGAAAATACATGTTAAACACACACACATACACGCAAGCACACACACACACACATACACACACATTCTACCTTAGTTCTACCTGTTTTGAACTCTCAGATAATGAGAGACACGTTTACTTTAAATGCTAAGATTTTGCCTCCAAACCTGTGGAAAGTCTCTAGCATAGGTAAAGCTTCATGCTATACATACATAGTTTTGTAAATTCTCACAATTCTCCCCAAGTTTACAAAAGCAAAACCTGTAATCACTTACTTAAACATCTATAGTTGTGGTTGTGAATTTGAATTCAGATCTGTATTACCAATTGCCTTTTTTTTTTCTACTACTTAACTACGAACAATTAACTAAATTTGGTTCAATGGTCACCAAACTTCATTGACTGTCTGGGGTGGTGCATTATTGTAGTAAAAGGGAGTTTAGTCTTTTCCAGAAGAGTTTATTCAGAGATCTTTTACAAGACTTAAGTTTCTAGCTTTGGCACTAAATTAAAAATTGTAATTTAATTATAATGACAATGTAAATAATAAACTCATAATTATTCTAAGCAGATATGAGAAATAAATCTAGTATCTTATGATTATAAAAATACATATTAATAACATATAATTTGAGTCCCAATTTTTAAACTATAAATATGATATGCAATGAATGCCTCATAGTTAAGTGATCAAAAGAAATTTCCTGACATTGTTTTTACTGTGAATCTTTCTAATATTTTCTAAACTTTCCTTTAAGAAAGTTTTCTTCTACATTTTTTCATTCCAAGGAAGTTTTCTTCATAATGACTTCCTTTTATAAACTTTAAACGGGATAAGAATTTATGGAAATTTTTAAACTCTTCTCCTTTACAAATGGAGGTATTTCAATATTTCAAAATTATAAATAAAATATATGATTTTAAAAAGAACAAATAGTTAATGTAAAATACAGAAAGCAGCATGCTTTAGACTATCAAATTTCAGTATTTTTCTGAAACAAGCTTGCAACAAAAACATTTTTAATGGTTAAATTTAGCCAAATAACTAAATTTTTTGAAAACTACAAATGGAATTCAAATAACTTATAATTAACTGATGATGTTTTTAATAACTATTGCTTGAATTAACTCATGCTTTAAAAATCCGCACATTGAAATTTATATCTAAATTCAATATGCAAGGAAAAGGTTTAGAACAGCTGAATATATGTCTGATTCCAAAAAGTCCTGTTAGCCTAGCAAGTTAGCACACCAAAGTTCACATCTAAACTTTACCCCAGAATTGACAGTTTATTTGATATAAATGATTAACTTTATGAAAACTAGTTATTGTCAACAGAGCTGGTGAAGTTGCAGAGAAAAGGGAACATTTATACACTGTTGGCAGGAGTTTAAATTAGTTCAACCATTGTGGAAAAGAGTGTGGTGATCCCTCAAAATGCTAAAAACAGAACTACCATTTGACCCAGCAGCCTCATTACTGGGTATATATGTAAAGGAATATAAATCGTTCTGTCATAAAGACACGTGCATGAATGTGTTCATTGTTCACAATGGCAAAGACATGGAATTAACCTAAATGTCTATCAACCACAGACTGAATAAAGAAATTGTGGTACATATATACCATGGAATACTATGTAGCCATAAAAAAGAAAAAGATCTTGTCCTTTGCAGGAACATGGATAGAGCTGGAAACCGTCATTCCTAGCCAACTAATGCAGGAACAGAAAAGCAAATACTGTTTGTTCTAACTTATAAATGGGAGCTAAATGATGAGAACACATGGACACAAAGAGGACAACAATAGGCACTAGGGGCTACCTGAGGGTAGAGGGTGGAAGCAGAAAAAAATGACTATTTAGTACTAAGCTTAGTACCTGTATGACAATCTGTACAACAAACTCCCGTGACATTTACCTATATACCAAACCTGCACATGTACCCTGAACTTAAAATAAAAGTTAAAAAAAAAATTATTGTCATCACTGACTATTCTAAAAACAGAATAGTCTTGGAAGTATGAACTCTGGGTTCTCTACAAGATTTTTGCTTTCCTCTGCAGTTCTCAGTATACACTATTGGAAATGCTTCCACATAAAAAAAGCAACTTGGATAATTTAATAAACATTCAATAACGTTATCTTACTAATTTTTTTCTAATCTTTGGCTCTCAGTCTCTCAACTCATCACAAACTTACCATTTTATTCTTAAAATAAGTACTTATATTTTAATGTATGCAGAGCCTTTGCAATTGTGCACTTCAAAGTATTTAAATAAAATAAAACATAAGTTGTTTGTTCCTTTCTATGTTCCTATGTCCCTGGGCTGTTCCTTTATTTCAAAGTTTTACATTTTTTTGCTTGGTTGTTTTTTTTTTTTTTCTTGGACCATTTTATCTTCTTTTCTATATTGTAATCATTATTTTTTCTACCCATTTTTACCTTTTTTCACTCATGCCCTCCTCCCATTCTATTCAACCAAACTCACATTTGAAGATATTATTCTGACATAAATATAAATCAGCTTACAAGAATTTTCACATCAAATATACAAGTAAATGTGTTTATTTTAAAAAGAACGAGCATCAAAATCTTTTCTGCCTCAAGTTTAGTATTAACATAGAATTTTGATAGACTTGGAACCAGGTATCCACTCCAAATGAGATATTTTTATGCCATTATTTGTCTGTATGCCAAAAGAAAATTCAAACTGAGTGCATTCATCATTCAAATTGATGTCAGGCTTAGAGTGTTAAGAAAAAATCTGGCTGGAATAAGATTCTAGTCAATACCATAAATCTCATTATGACTTTCATGTCACACTGAAGTACATCACATTGACCTCAAAAGCCATACCACACATCAGAGAAAGGAAATCAGAATCACTTCT
The DNA here is from genome assembly GCF_000001405.40 of Homo sapiens. Taxonomy (NCBI): domain Eukaryota; kingdom Metazoa; phylum Chordata; class Mammalia; order Primates; family Hominidae; genus Homo; species Homo sapiens. The sequence goes on from NC_000004.12 coordinate 80,911,739, forward strand.
GTCAGCATCAGCACAATGCCATAAGAAGCACTTCTTGAAGGGAAAATAATTTATAAAAAAAGGAAAAGGCACTTGTTTTACATTCAAGAAATCTGTGTTCATTTATTTAATATTTTTTCATACCATGCAAAAAATGGTTTAGTTTTTGACACTATAACACACTTAGAACTGAGTTTCAAAAGCAAAATTTGTCTGAAATTGCCTCAAAATAAAAAAAAAAATATATGTACTGTATTCTACTTTTATTTGAGGAAAGCTGACCTCTGGGCACTAAATCACTATTATTTAATACCTTCTTTCTTTTAGAGACAAAATATTAAGCATTTGATCCTCTAAATAAAATGTTCTACTTATTGAGAAAGTTGACTATTTTGTGGGTCTTTCAAGCAACCTATCAGAGGAAAATGAACAAAATAATAATTACATGCTAGTGCCTAATAGAAAGCTAGGTGCAATGAAAAATGAAAAAGAAATATAAGATATAGTGCCTCTTCAAGATCTTAAATTACCTCCACTGGGAAAATTAACATTTCGGCTGCAGCTACAGAATAGTTAGCCATCAACTTATTATTATACCCCTGCCTTCCACACATTACAGCAGGAGAATAGACAAGGAGTCCAGGGGTAGAATGAGCGAGAAAGGTTCGTCCCTATTCTGCATGGCCTAAGAGAGACCTTGGAGAACACCTCACCATATCAATGAGTCATCCGTCGAAAGAGCCACTTGGTGCAGCTGGGCAACAGTGCCCTTGGAGGACATAGGCTTGGCCACCTCTGGGCTACTGTCTCCCTCATTGTGTGAGGACTGCAAAAGGGGTAGGGTGTTAACAGACAGAGCAGAGCTGCAGTCGGACCACAGACAAGGGAGAGGTGACACACTGGCCCACGCGTATGGCTCAAGCCCAAGGGTCAGTGGTTAACCCAGAGCTCTGAACCCAGAGTTCTGTGTCTGATATGTCAGAATCACCCCAAATCAAGTTTCAGCCCCATTCTGGCAGCACTAACTCACATGATCCCATAAAAGAAATACTGTACTAGTCAATAGGAGTGATCCACTGGCCAGGCTACCCTCCTGAAATGTGGGCACACTCCCAAGGACCAGGAAGAACCCAGAGGCCTGAGTCTGGAGCTCCTAGAGTCTTGTTGTGGACCTCAAAAACAGGAGTGCGGAATAGAGGGGAAGCCAACACTCTAAAGAGAAGAAAGAGGGACCAGCCATAACAGAGGTCTTGGTCCACTCTGATTCCCCACCCAAAAAGCACTGCCTACCCTAGTCCCCTCCACCATTATATACCACTGTAAGAATAATGAGAAATTTTTTATAAAGGCACCTCCAAAACATGGGGCCCCCTGAAATGTAAATTTTTCCTCCCTGCATCTAAGGACATTACTGTCAGAAAGAAGGAACTGGAGCAAGAATTTGAAAGATAGTAAGGTTCCAGATAAAAAGAAAATAGTATTTGACAGTGAGTGAGAGAGAAAAGTTGGGAGGCAGCAAGGGAGCCATCCCAGCTGACAAAGAAGAAAATAAATATATTATATGGGAGAAGTAGGAAAAATACTAGCACTTCAAGTCACTACATGAAGGTGGGCTGAGGAATTGTGAATATTCTGGAATGGCTTATGCATTTTCGGTTCCAACTTCTGTTTAATATATCTTAACATACAATACTATGAAACCTGAATAGCTAAGGAACACATTGCTCACACTTCATTGCAGCTAGGATTCCAGCTGAGACATAGGTTTCCCTCCATTAGTTTGGAAGAGTGTTTGAGGAGAGAGAGGCAGGTGCTAAGCATCCAGTTTGGTGGTGTGAACTATGGCATTGTAGAGGCAACTTCCTCGTTAGGCAAGAGGCTTCGCGATTTTGGCAGAGACTGAGTGGTTTTGAAACAACAGTTACAGAAGGGATTTCCCTAATTTGGCATGCAGTTTCTTTTTAGTTTGGTCAGTACATTTTGAAGTATAATCTACATACAATGAAATTTCTATATTTTAAAGTGTACAATTCATGAGCTTTGGCTAATGTGTACAGTAATCTACACACCGCCACAATTAAGATATAGAATGTTCTCATCACCCCCTAAAGTATGCCTTTTGGCCCTTTGTATTTGATCCTCAACTCCCACACTGGCCCCATTGATCCACTTTTTTAGTACTATAGAGTGACTTTTTCTTGAATTTCACTTAACTGGAACTGAACAGTCTGTACTGTTTTTTGGCTATGGCTTCTTTCCCATAGACTAATGCTTTTGAGAGTCATCCATGCGTTCTATTTATCAGTAGTTTATTCCTTTTGCTTGCTGAGTACTATTCCACTATAAAGATATGCCACGATTTGTTCATTCATTCACCAGTCTATGGACATTTGAATTCCTCATAGTCTGTGTCTAATATTAATAAAGTGGGTATGAACACACAAGTCTGTGTAGACAAAGGTTTTTATTTTTCTTGGTTAAATATCTATTAGTAGGATTATTGGATATGATAAGCACATGTTTAATGTTATTAGAAACTGCCAAAGATTTTGTTAACACTTTTCATTCTTACTAGTAATATATGAGTTCCTTTTATTCCACATCCTAGTCATCTTTGGTATTATAGGTCACTTTAATTTTAGCTATTCTGGTGTGTGTGTAGTATCAGATTTCTTAACCTCAGCACTATAGACATTTGGGGCCAGATAATTTTTGTCCTGTGCATTGTAGGATATTTAGCAATATCCGTATCCTCTACCCTCTAGATGTCAGTTAGCATCCCTCCAGTTATAACAACCCAAACTGTATTCAGACATTGAAAAAAGGCTCCTGGAGGAAAACGCCTCCCCATATTGAGAACCACTAATGTAGTGCTACATCATTGTGGTTTTAATTTACATTTCTCTAATGATGAATGACAGTGAACATCTTTGCATGAGCTTATATATAGGACCCTGCAGGTTATTTATTTCCTCAGTGGAGCTTTGATAGTTTGTATCTTTCAAGAAAATCATCCGTTTTATCTGAGCTGTCAAATTTATTAACATAAAGTTGTTCATAATATTCCCTTATTATGCCTTTACTATCTGTAGGTTATGGAGCGATGTGTCCCCTTTTGATGCCTGATATGAATAATTTATTTCTTTTTCTTGATCAACCTAGCTGGAGGTTTACCAGTTTAATTGGTGTGTTCAAAGAACAAGCTTTTGGTTTCGCAGATGTTCATTGTTTTTCTGTCCTTAATTTTATTTCTTCTTTTATGTTTATTATTTTATTTTTTTCTTATCTCAGATTATTGAATTGTGGCCATTTTTCCTAATATGAGAATATTTTTGCTACCGTTTTCCCCTAAGCACTGCTTTGGTTCATTCTAAAATTTGTTATATATTTATTTCAATTTATTTCAAATATTTTCTAAATGCTCATGATTTTTGCTTTGACCCATGGATTATATAAAAGTTTTTAAATTTTTTTCTCAAATTATTTTTATTTGTAAAATTTTTATTTCAGTTTGGTTTTGAAAGATACTTTCAGTGGGTATAGAACTCCAGTTTTACAGGGTTTTTTTTAAAACATTTTAAAGATGTCACTGAATTTTCTCTAGCTTGCGTAGTTTCTGATGGATACCTTTTGTAATTCTTACCCTTTTTTCTCTGCATGTGAATGTCCTTTTCTTTGTTTTTTAAGATTTTGTCCTGGATTTTTCACACTTTGATGTATTTTTCACAATTTTTGATGTACTGGTTCCTTGGTGTAATTTTATTTTTTACATGTTTGTTCTGCTTGGTTTTTATTGAGCTTCTAACAGCTGTGAGTTTATAGTTTTTATTAAATTTGAAAAATTTTAAGACTTTATTTCTTCAAGCATTTTTTTTCTAAGCTCCCTCTCTACCACTCTCCCAGATCCTCCTGTTATCCATCTCCTCTCCTTCTAGAACTCCAATTACACATGTTATCCTACTGAGCCACTGTTTTTTTATTGTTTCTATCATTACAGCTTTGAGAGTTCACTGATTTTTTTCCTTGAGCAGTGTCTCTAATCTGCTGTTAATTCCATCAAATGTATTATTTATTTCAGGTATTATATATTTTCTCTCTAAAACTTAATTTGGGTTATTTTCACGTCTTCCATATTCTCTTCTTACCATATAAATTTTTTAGCATATTTATCAAATATATATTAGGTGTTTTACATTTGGCGACCAGTCATTTCTACTTTGTCATTTCTGAGTATATTTCCGTTAATTAATATTTTATTTCAGGGCTGGGTGCAGTGGCTCACACCTGTAATCCCAGCACTTTGGGAGGCTGAGGTAGGTGGAACACATGAGGTCAGGTGTTCAAGACCAGCCTGGACAACATGGTGAAATCCCATCTCTAATAAAAATACAAAAATTAGCTGGGCGTGTTGGTGGGTGCCTGTAATCCTAGCTATTCAAGAGGCTGAGGCACGAGAATCACTGAAACCCAGGAGGCAGAGGTTGCAGTGAGCCAAGATTGTACCATTGCACTCTGGTCTGGGCAACTAGACTGAAATATATATATATATATATATATATATATATATATATATATATATTTCAGGTACAGATCATCTGTTCCTCCATCTTTGTATGTACAGTATATTAATTGCATACTGGGCATTGTGGATTTTACATTATTTGATGCTAGGTACTTCTGTATTCCTTTGAAGAATTATGCCCTTTGTCTTGAAATGTAGACAAGTTATTGGGAATCAGTTATAAATTTCTGACGCTTGTTTTAAAGCTATGTTTGGTGATGTCCAGAGCAGCCTCAAGCATAGGTCTAAGTTGCCCCTACAACTTTGCCCAATAACCTATATATTATAAGGTTTCTGTACTCTGGCTGATAGGAAACTTGAACTATTTCCAATCTTGTGTGAGTTCTGGTAATTCTTCCTTTGGTGCTTCAAATAAATCTCCTATTTCTCCCATTTAGCCACAGCAGATTCCATAACATTGTAAATGAAAACAGAACAATTATTGCAGGGATTATGTAAGTAAGAGAATATGAATTATAAAAGACATTGAAAGTCAAGCCAAACTGCCAGTTACAATTTGATTTAAGAGTAAAAATAGAATTATTCATTTTGAAATGGTGATATATACAGGGAATAAATTCCGAGGTGAAGTAATATGTTCCATGTCTTCAAAAAAAAAGAAAATCTAGAAATAGGGAGTCCGACAAGGTATTTGATTAAGTAATCTAGGAGTTACTCAATAGAGGTAAGCACAGAGCAGTATGAAGAGCAAAAAAAGGGTCAATATCAGCAACATTTGGAAGGAAGAAATTATTTGGAAGAAAAAGTGTGGCGGCAAACTGGATAGAATAATGTTAGGAAAAGGAAGGTAGGAGTCAGAGATTGCTCCAAAATTTCTAACAGGGTGGTACTAAAAGCAAGGAGCAAAGAAAAATAGCTTCAAGTGGGAGAGATGAGTAAGTTTGGGACTTTTTTTTATGATGAAGGCAGCACATCCAAACAGCAATATCTTGGAGGCCATTGAGATATAATGTACTATTTCGCAGATAACCGATCTGGGCAAGGAACATAAGTCTGAAAGAAAAGATACTGTCAATATGGATTAGTTCAGTTGTTTTACAAATGTATTACTATTCAAAATTCTATTATCATGTCACTCTTACATTACTAAAAGGAAAACTAATAATTACATTTATTTTAGATTTTGAATGCCTTTTGGTTTCTAGATTTGAAAAAGGAATTACTAATATTGTAACAATGGTACAGGAAGCTGGTCTTCTGCATAATTACTTACACAAGTATTGGAAGCCTCACATAAAATGTTGTGTTTGAGGGAACTCCAGTCCATATTCTTTACCAGAATTTTGGCTAACCTTTAGATAAACAAGCCTCCAAATTTTTCACTAGTCACCACCAGCAGTTGCCAGGTTAATGCATTCATTTCCTTTCCATGGCACATTTCCCAAAGAATATGAGCCTTTTGTATTTTGAGGAAAGATTTCATACAGCAGAAATAGGCTCTAAAAACACAACAAATTATTTTTTTGTTCATTTCATGAAAAAGACAATTACCAGGATACATCTCACAACTGTCTATTCTCTATAAACAATATCCTAGGGTAGCAAACAATTCAATGTTGCTTCTCTAATTATTAAGCGAAGACATAAATTATTGTATTCTAGGGGATGTTAGAAATCACCTACTCCAAATGGTTTATATGTAGATATAGAAATCATTTGTATGAAATGATATAGTTACCTGTCCAGATTAGTGGCATATTTAGAACAAAAATTAAATTTCTTGTTCAACTCAGTGCTACTTGCTGTACCATTAGCTCTGCTCTTTTGAAAACATTTCTAAAATCCTTTTAAGATAGGAAGATACCAATCAAGCATGATTTCTTTGATTTATTCACCTTAAATGTCAGTATCTTATGTTGTCCTGGTTTCCTGTTACACTCATCTCCAGCCAGCCTACAATGATTCAGTGGATTTCACAACACATCTGAAATAAGCATTTTGCTTATATCTCTTTTGTTACTACATGCCTTGAATCTGATTATGAGATAAACTTCTAGTTCACATGGCTGTGAATAATAACAAAGTGAATTTTCCTCCACTGTAAATTGGTGGGAAAAGTTAAAAATCTGATTTGTGACTAATCATATTTAGCTTATCCTTGTTGATCCCAACCTACAAATGACATTTATTCCAAAATTTTGCAAGCTGGCTACAGAAACGTTTATTGTGTTTTCCCGACAATGTTCATGTGGCAGTTAGGTAGATTTTATAATACTATTATTTCTACAGAGAGAGAGAGAAAGAGAAAGGAGAGAGGAGAGAACATACACGTATTTGTGTATGTGTGTGTTAATTTTAAGAGCAAACTGATAACTAAAATATATTTATAGTACTGGTTTTATGTAAAAAAAATTTATAAATTCTAATATTTGTTGCCGATCATATCTCTTCCCCAACTCTAATGGTGAGAGGGAGACTTTGCTGCCCCTGTCCAGGCACAGGTTGCACAGTAGTGGCTCCAATAGAGGAAGGCATGGGAGGGAGGGAAGAGAGGCTGATGAAATGTGACAGCAGTGTTTGGGCTGCTTCAATGGCAGCTGCTGCATCAGAAGTTCCGGGTTCAGGGAAGTGGGTGTTGAGGGCATAGGTTCTATTTATAAGGTTCATCTCTGAGGATGTTAAGTGGCATTGAAAGATCTGTAGACTGTGATGGTGGCTGAGATGTCCAGCAGAAGCAAGAGCCCCTTTATCAATGAGAAGGGTGAAAGAAAAGCCCCCCAGAACAGCAAGTATAACTTGCTGGGTTTGTAAGTTATGTGGACAAAATCCAGGAAGTGTCTGTAGTTTCCACAATTTGGCACTGAACCCACAACCCTATGGACCTGAATTTCTTTTCTTCTTACTATTTTAGTAAACACCCATTTAGTTCTAAATATTAGTTCTAAAGCATGCTGCAAGTTGAGCAAATTACCAAACAGAATATTCCTAATTAGAAAGATTTCCAGATCCCACAATTCAGGTTATAATACAATGTATTATGTCAGTATTTCAGCCTCCATATGCTTTAATAGCCACGTTGAATTAACACACAGCCCTCTAATTCAACTCATAGAACAAATGTGGTACAAGAAGTTCAAGGATTTAGCCTCTGGTCATAATCATGTCTAAGGCAGAAATGCAGTCATCTGCACATTATAATTCAAGTGTATAGAATTTTCTATTATAGTTTCAGGCTATTGAAATGTTTTTCATTTGGAACTCTTAGTATGAGATCCTCAGGTAAAGTTGAATTATCCATTACTTAGACAGTTATTTTATTTTCCAAACTGCATAAGCAACTGGTTTTCTTTTGAGTCCATGACTCACAAATTCAATATGTTTGGATCATTTTATTATGAAGTGAACATTATTTTCTATCATTTTAATTCAGATTTATCTGGTACACATAGACTCAGGGCATCAAATTTATTAAAATGAAATACATTAAGTGTAAATTATTCCAGGCCATGTTTGATACTACTGTGTATAGATCACCATCCAGATAGAATCAAAGAGAGCACTAATTTTTTTTTACATAGATCCAAGTCCCTCATGTGTCAAAAGTCAGATACATACCTCACATCATTTGCACAAGCAAGGCTTTGCCCCCAGTATATATGGGTTTGCTTGGATACCCTACCCAGCTCCATAATGTAGGCTACAAACATTAGTTCTTATAATTCTCTAAGAACTATCTGACCTGTTTTAAAAATTCTTAGTGAAAATCTAGAGCTGCAACCTCCTCTATGCAAAGTACTACTCCTGTATGGTACATTCTTCCCACCTCCACTAAAGGATCTCCCATTGAAGTTTTGTCTACTCTTGTATGCCCCTTTTCAAAGGTACAGGGAAAGACAAATAATCCTGATGAGAACACTTTCCTGAGAAACAGTCATACTGAGGATTAGTCAATATCCGTTAGACTAATATGGAACTAGACCACCAGCTCCTCACTTTGAATGTGACTCACCTATCTCCCCTTCATTGAATACATGCTATATCCTATTCAAGATGGAAACATTTCCTCACTGAACCAAATGGAACATTGAACCAAAGTTAAGCAAAGCAGTAGGGATGGGGTCAGGTAGGGCCAGATTGTAGTGTCAGCATACCTGACCTGCTTCATTATACTTCACTGTACAAGGGGCAGAAGCTCATGACTGAAGTCTTTATAAGATGTCCACCTCTGATTCTCCTTAGGTCTTCAGAGGATAAGGCACATGGGTGCTCTTTCGTCTTCTAATTCTAGCTCCTTCTCCTACTTTCCTTCTCTTCATGTATATTGCTTTTAGCTCTTTTACATGTGCTATCCCTGAGCCAGCCTATTCTAAGACATGCTGCCTTTTACTATAATATATTAATGTCTCAACCTCCAGTTTATTTTAGTTGCTTACATGTAATGTCCAGAATTTCTCTGAATCTCAGTGACCACTTCCTGCAACTGGAAGGGGTAAGCTCTGGTCTCTGTTTCTACCTTCTGGGGTGCATGTGGAGTATTTAGAAAGGGAGAGTTCAGATGTGGATAAAGTAAGGGTGAGGATTTTTATTCTGGACTATGTCTTATTTTCTAAAAGCAACTAAAATTAAGCCAAATTTGCCACTAAAAATACTATTCTCTTATTCAGGGTTACTCAACACAGTACTTGTGAAAAGCACACATTCCTTCTTTTAACCTGCCTTTTATTCTAGTCTTTGTAAACGAAGAATCATTTTCTTATTTGCTAAATGCATGTTTGTTGCCTTCTAGTCTAAGTTTTTGTAGCGTTTCCCACACATTAATTGCCAAAGCCAAGCACCAAGCCCAGTTCTCATATTCTTAATCCCCAATAGGTTTGGGGAGAACAGTTCGGTATACTCTCGACACATCATTTATTACTTTATTTTCAAAATTGATATCATGATCCTCCTGTGTCTTGGGCATAGTATTAAGTGATTTGATAAAGATAAATAAGACACAATTCCTTCCCTCAAGGAACTCATTGTTTTGGAGAAAGCCAGACTTAGACAATTACAAAATGATTTGGAAATGCAATGAGATAGATATGTTCAGTGTGTTTTTCAAGTACAGAGGAGAACATAGAAGGAATTAGTGTGGGGAGAGAGGCAAGAGTTCCTAGAGGAAGTGCTGAGAGAGCTAATTTTTAAAGAATGTATAGACATTTCCAGCCTTGAAAGACAGGGGAATGGCATTTAGGCAGAGAGGAGAGCATGAACAAGGGCATAAAACTGAAAAACAGCAGGTATATGAAAGGGAAACTATCAGTAGTTCAGGGTTGCTTTAGCATAGATCTGAGTAGGAGCAGTAAGACATGAAGGGCCATGTAAAAGCAGTAGGACAAGAAGTTTAGAATTTATGCTATAGGTGATTGTGACTCATTCAAAGAAATTTGTCCCGGGAGATAATCTGGTTAAATCTGTGTGTGCAAAACACCCCTGGAGGCTGTGCAGAAGTCAGATTGAGTAGATATGAGAAGGGAGACAAGGAGACAAATAAACAAGCTGCTGCTGAGGGCCTGAACTAGAGCAGTGGTGGAAGCAAGCCGATAAAGGGCCAATATATGAGAAATATTTATGGAGGGAATCTGGTGGTGAATGAATGAAAATGGGATATGATGAGAGGAAAGAGTCAAGCACAATTCCGAGTCTAAAACATGGATGTCTCAAAAAACAGAGGTACCAAAAAATGTAAGATAGAAAATTCAGGGTTCAGGGGGAAGATCAAGGACTCAGTTCTGTATATGTTGAGTTTAAAGTGCCTGTGGAACATGTAGGCTACAGTAGATAGATGTATACGTCTGAATCTATGAGATGTCTGGACAGGGAAAAAGAACATGGAAATTATATGAATATAAATAATAACTAAAACAATGACAGAAGTTGAAGTTATCCAAGGAGGTTGTTCTTTCTACCATTAGCCTTAATATATTGTTCTTTTTATAGGAGTGGTGACTCTGTTCACTGTTTTTGAGAAATTGCTATTAATATTATTATTTTGTATGTATGTGGATTGCACCCTTGTTTAGATATATGGTTGGGAGATAAGCTTTTACTTGCAAACTAAAACATACAAAGGTAAGAAAACAGGTAAAATCTTTTCATGGTTTTATGACTAAAAACTTGAAGGATAATTTTCAATGTTGTTCTTCAAAGTAAAACACTAGCTTACAGTTTGCAGACTCATTCTATGTCAATTATTGCTGTCCCAGATAAAAACCTCAAGGACAGTCTGTTTTTCAAAATAATTTCTAGTTTATACTCCAACATTTTCATGTAACCTTACAAAGCATATCATGTTCAGACAGATACTTAGACCCAAAATAAAACTAGATATTTATTTTATCTACATGATATACATGTTACAATAAAGGGTTTTCTATTTCCCCTAATTAAAAAGAAGCACTCTTTCTTTTTTTGGATTTAAAAGTAATGCATACTCATTGTGGAAAATATGTTGACTATGAAGAATATAAGGTATAAACAAGAAAACTGAAATCACTTTGAATGCTCCCAACTAAAAATCTTAAAGTGTTATAAATGTTAAAATGTTATAAAATATAAATATAAAATATTAGTATAAATATTTTAAAATATTATAAATATAATCTATACATACATATATAATATCTACTAATACTCTACCTATAATATATACATTTTACATATATTTGAAAGAGAGAATGATAAGCGATCAGCTATTGGGCAAAATTGTGTTCACTGTAGGTCAATATGTGCTATGTAATCAGCTCTACATGCTGGCTATTTGCTAAACAAAGGCAAGAACTGTAAAATGTTTACATTTAGATAATCTGCTCCAAGGGGGAACATTTGCTAGCTCAAGGAGGGATTCCTTCATGGTTGTTACGGGCTTTGCCTTCAAAGGGCTTCTGCTAACACAATAGTTCACCCACAGCCAGGAAGAGGAGGAGGTTACTAATACTCTGAGACCTCACCCCAGTTTGTGGAGTTAGAGTTGAATCCATCTGAGTTCCAAAAATTTTGTGCAATTCACATACACACCCTGTGAACCTCTCACTACACTTTCCATTTTTCCTTCCACTGCATCCTTTCACTTTTGCCTTTCATTGTCGTCTCTTAGTGTATATATAAAAAGGCATTTTGAGCACATATATGCCAGTAGGCCAAGATGAAGAACTTATTTGTCCATTTTCACTGTGATGTTACTACAAGGAAAAGTATTCTCAAACATGAAAATGACTAGTAGCCAACTGTATGTGTGTGTGCATGAATATGTTTATTTGCTGTCCTACTGTATATCCATAACTCTACATCCTATTATATTATGAGCACATTATCTTCTCTCTTAAAAGTCTTCATGAATTTCAGTTACGATAGCTGCCACTATGGTGCTAGTATTTAATTAACAAATTTTCATTAATTGAACATCATTTCAAAATCATTTTGTTGCCCTCTAGGGCTCTTTGTCTTTCCTTGGTTGAAGTATCAGGACTCCTAGAAATCATGGACCTCATTTGAATTCTGAGTTGTGAAAACCATCCATTTTAAAAATTATGAGACAATTGGGGAAATTTGAACACTAACTGGGTATTTGAGGCTATTGAGGAATTATTGTAATTTTAAGGTATTATATTAAAACTATAGTTATATATTTTTTAAAGAGCCATCGTTTAGAGATCCATTATGAAGTCTTTTTCAGATGAAATGATTTGATATCTGAGATTTGTAAGCTTTGAAATGATCTCATTGATGAGAGTGAGTTTGCAGGAAGGGAGAGATGAAACTGATGGGCATTTGTGAATAACAGTTGATTCTAGAAGATGGTGACATGGGGTATCATTTTGCTCTCTACTTTTGAATGTTTGAAATGTTCCATGAAACATTTTTTAAAGGAGAAGAAAGGGGTGGGTGACCTGAATCTCTAAATAAATACACTAGGCAAATATTTTGTGAAACTTTTGTTCACATTTATCCAGAGAAGTCCCCTTTACTGTTTTCTATTCTTTTCTATTTCATATTTTACTTTTGGCTATGGCCCACTAAATTGATCTTACAGTTCAAAAAAAGACCACAGTATCTGCTGTTTTAAAATCACTGTTCTCTCCAGGTTCTACCTCTTGTTCACCTTCATTGCTGTTACTTGTGGCAGACCAAGTTGAAGTCAGAATTTGGCCTCCTGATTATTTACAATGGGAATTTGGACCACTTTAGGCTAATTCCAAACCATTGCTATAATACATAATCGTGTGACAATTCATTATGTGTGTGTGTGTGTGTGTGTGTGTATATATATATATATATATATATATCTGTGTCTGTAATTTCTAGAAGTGGAATTGCTCAATCATTTATAAGTTACAATTATAATAATTTATAATATTTATGAGTACTTATAAAGCTTGTTATGCACATTGCCAAATTGCTTTCCAAGGTGTATAACTTGTATTTTCACAAGCTATAGATGAGAATGCTTATCTCACTGCACTCTAGCTCTATCAGCTAGAGTGTTATAAGTATTATACTCTTTCTTATTATTATCAATTTTAAAAGACAAAATCATTTTATTTTACTCACATTTCTTTTATTATTAGCAATGCTTATGCTTATTACAAATCTTTTTTGGCTATTATTTTATTTTCTGTGATCTATCTAATCTTGTCTTCCCCCAGTGTTTCAAGTTGGGGTCATTGAAATGTTTTAAATTACTTTATAGAAGAGCTTTATATTTCAAGGACATTTATGGCACACATTTTCCCTATTTGTTGTTTGATTTTATTTTTATTTATGACTTCTCTTGACATAAAGTTTTATTTTTTAATTGTTATGAAGGTAAACTGATCTTGTTTCCTTTAGGGTTTCTCTCATTGCTCTTAAGCTTACTATGTCCCTCAATATGTGCCAGTAACCTACCTATTCTCCCTTTCATTGCTTGTTGAAGCTTTCTAATTTTCATAATGCTTTCACTCTTAATCTTCTTCTTCTGTCTTTCCTGAACAAAATATTCTTGCTGTATCTTCCTAGGGTTCATCATCATTATTAATTTCCAATGTGTGTCAAAACCATATCTTACCTGCTTCTTAAGAGTGAAACAATGGATTTTTAAATGCAACATGATTTACGCTACTACAATGATCTCTGCTATTTAGTCTCCAGTGGGGTGTCTGATGCTTCTGTCACACTGACCAAGAGAGTTATGCTTTGTAGGAGCAAAAAAAGATTGCTGAGTATATGATGTGGTTGAAAGACTGTCAGGAAACTTTTTCACTTCCTACTCAAAATATTAATATTTCCTCTTAAAAGTGACAACCCATACACCTGCAATTATAGAGATATATGATACTGACAAATGAAAGAGGAGGCAGATTATTTGGTACAAGTGTATAAGTGTCTAAAAATGTCCTGACCTCAATCTCTTAGTGAAAAAAAAGACTAAAGATGAAAGAAGGTAAAAGACAAAAGAGCAAAAGAGAAGCTGATGCTGAAGATGAATGTCAAGTCACAAGACTCATGCCAGTCTCGTGGTAATGAAGGAATAGTTTATTATAATTAGAATAATTGTGATGAACATTTATTGGAACTGGCCAAGTGCCAAGGTGCTGCAGTAAGTTCTAGAAATAGTCCAATAAGGTGTTGTTCCTACCCTTATGGGGCTCACAGCCTAGTTGAAATGACAGAATGTGAATCAGTTATTACAGAACAGAACTTTAGTTTCTACAGTAGATTATCCATTTGTTCCAGAACTTGGAATATAAATTAGTCTTGTGGTTGTAGTTTCCCATGGGAAGTATTGCATGATATGATATTTGAAGGATGTGCAGAACTTAGCTAGATGAAAAACAATGCAATGTGGAGATAGTAGTCCAGGCAAAGAAAACAGTATGCTCCCAGGTAGGAGGCACTAGCAGAGCCTGAAATGGCATGTTTAGAGAAATGCACATAGTAGAAAAAGCTCAAGAAAAATATGAAGTTTGGAGTGCATGATGTGACTAGAGAGATGGCTTCCAGGTTTGGAGGAGTTTGTGTGCTAAGCTACAGAGTGTGTCAGGAAAGCCATCGATGTTAGGAAAGTACTGTAAGCAGGGATATAATATCTTATGTGATATGTTTTGAGATAATTGTGATTGCAAGAGGATGATGGATGAGAAGGGATGCAGACCAAAGGTGACAGGGGTGGGAGAGACTGATTGTGAAGCTATTGTATTAATTCAGGCAAGAATTGATGTACAATGAAATATTTGGGGAGAAGTAAATAGACATGAGAGAGATTAAAGAGATGGAATCTGTAAGACGTGATGAAAGACAAGATGCATGGAGAAGGAGAGGGAACAACCTAGGATAATCCACATTTCTAGCTTGGATTCCTGGGGAAGATGGCAGTGTTACTTACTGATGACTCATATTCATCAAATTATGACTCACAAACATGATAAGACATTGCTTCTTTCTGTTTCACTATAAAAAATGTCAATAGAGGGAGGAAAATAATCAGTTGCAAAAGAAAATTTGAGAGTACAATGGAAAGAGTTCTGATATAGGAATTTATGGAGCAATTATAAGGCAATGGTCTCACTTGCAAATATAAAACATTGAACATTTTATTATTTGAATTAAGAAGACCTTCAAAAGGAGATATGTCAGATGGCAAAGACTAGCTGGTCGAACAGCTGTACTTATTTCACCTGAATGTTTCCTCTTCTTGATTCTTACTACCATCACCATAACAGGCTGCAACAAATAACTGCTCTCATTTCAGTTCTGGCCCAGGATAAACCAGCACATATTTCCTTGGTTTAGCTCTTTGCAGTTCAGATAGACATACATATTTTCCATATCATGTACAGAAATACAAAATTGCTTAGTGAAAAGTCAAAGGCTATGAAGCTTTTAGTTTCTCTTTTTGCCTAAGGCTGTTTTTCTATGTGGATTCAACACTAATTTAGTTTGTGTTGTTTCAGTGTTATATTTTTGTTATTTCTCCCTGATTACATTATAATTATAACTTATATTCCTGATTCCCCAACCTTAAGTACAAAATGAGGTCAAATTCCTTTCAATATTCAAAATAAATTCTGAGCCTCTGGTCCATCCCAACATCCCAAGTATCCTAAAATGTTTATTTCCTCTTCAACATGCTCCCTTAAGGTAACACCAAGACCCCTCCAAGGTCTAATATATTGGTTTCCTACTGCTAAGTCACAAATTACTACAAATTTAGTGGCTTAAAATGACACTCATTTATCCCGTCACAGTTCTGTGTGTCAGAAGTCCAGAACAGTGTGGCTGGATTCTCAGTTCAGGGTCTCACAAGGCTGAAATCAAGGTGTTGGCAGAGCTGCATTTCTTTCCGGATGCTCTGGGGAGGAATCTGCTCCTAAATTCATTTAGATTCTTGGCAAAATCTAGTTCCTTCTGGCTATTGGACTGAGTCCCATGGCCCCTGTATCTGAAAGCCAGCAACAGTGTCTTAAATCCTTCTCATGCTTTGAATTTCCCCTACTTCTTCTGCCTTCCTCTGCGGCTTTTAAGAGTTCAAGTCATTACATTGTGCCTACCTGAATAATCCAGAATAATCTTCCCATTTTAAGGTCAAATCACTAGTAAACTGACAAAGTCAGCAAAGTCCTTTTTACCAAAGCACATAACATACTTGTGAATGCAATGACAGAAGGGATAGATCACAGGTGATATTTTCAATTCTACCTACCACATCTATCAGCACTACCACTTAAACTTGATAACGTATCCACCAAAGTAAATTCCTGTCCACTTAAGAAAGTTACTTTAATGACCTGGTGCTCCACTGCTAACTTGATGATCTCTCTCCAGATACAGCAACAGAGAAGGAAGCGTCTCTCCCCCAGCGTTCTGTTCTGTTTCTTCATCATAGTTCCAAGCTGCTTAAACCTAGGTTCACAGTACTCATTTATAATATTGTGCTCTTTAGCTGCACGTCTCTTTTTAGTTTTCACACATTCAGAGCCATTTCACCACAGGCACAGCCACAGTGTCTGAGCCTGAAAGAGTGGCCAGTATCTCTCACAACAAACCTATACTCCTGAATTTTCTAGCTGATACCTAGGACCCAAGCCCAACTATGGTTTTCTCTCCCATTATACTGATTTCTTTTAATGAAAATTCTTATTTTGTCATGTCCAGTCATGACTGGAAAATTACTATTCTAGAAAAGTCTAGAAATTTATCCACAGATATGAAGGAAAAGTATGGTGATTATAAAGCAGAATTTCTGACTACTCACAGAAAGATCAATAAAGCTAAAGAGCATCTCAATATTCATAATGTAAAAGTGAGGGATGAGGTTGCAATGGCTCAAGATATTTTCATAGTCGTAAAATTTGAGTTGCCAAGACCTTGCAGGAAGGAGAGAATATATTAAGCCAAATAATGTTTGTTTTTTTTAAAGAACAGAATTTTAATCTTATAATTCCAGTACTAACAGCAAAGATTACTTATCCATAAAATCTCTTTAGTCTAAGATAAATGTACACTAGTCCCTAAAAGGACAGTTACCAATAACAGCTACCAAATTTTGGTGTTCATTTTACCATTCCTTTCCTGCATTTGACAATGGGTATCTTCCCATTATTTTTTCATACCTCATATTCCGTTCTGTCCTCATAGTATTATTCTATCATAACTCTCCTTGTATGTTTGTGTGCAAATCTCTGTCTTCTTCTCAGGACCTTACACATTTCTTCAATGATGATGTTCCATAAAGTCTCTTCACAGTGCACTATTTTTCTAATTCCCATCAAATCAGTAGAACAAAAGGTCAGACATGCTTGAGAAAAATTTCCGTTCATAGAAACTGCAGACACTGACAAGGTGTTTCTTTCTAACATTTCTAAGTGGTAGTATCAGTTCCCATCCAGTCTCTATGGCAATGCTACCCATCCAGTCTCTATGGCAACACTACCCATCCAGTATCTATGGCACCATTATCCATCCAGTCTCTATAGCACCACTATCTATCCAATCTCTATGGCACCACTACTCATCCGGTCTCTGGCACCACTACCCATCCAGTCTCTATGGCACCATTATCCCTCTGGTCTCTACTACCCATCCAGTCTCTATGACACCACTATCCCTCCAGTCTCTGTAGCACCACTATCCCTCCAGTCTCTGTGGCACCACTATCCATCCAGTCTCTATGGCACCACTATACATCCAGTCTCTATGGCATCACTATCTATCCAGTCTCTATGGTACCCATCCAGTCTCTGAAGCTAGGAACCTAAGGGTCATCTGCAACACTGCTCAATAATGAATTCTATAATTGCTATCTTCTATATATTTCCTAAAATTATCTCATTTTCTCCAACTCCATAATGTACAATCATTTTTCCATTCTAGCCTGGGTTAATGAGACAGATTCTAAACTGGTCCCCTGACTTCCAACTCTCTCTGCCTCCTGCCCCTTCAATCAATTCATCACCCATTGCCAGGATGGACCAGGAACTGCATATCTGGGCATATCTCTTTTCTGCTTACACCCTCAGATGCCCTTATTACCTGCAGAATAAAGTTCATATTGTTTGATGTGGTAAACAAGGCCTTCTGAGATCTGTTCTGTGGGTATGTCTCCAGTCTCATTTCTTATACACTGTAATATTATGAAATACAAATTTGGCCTTCTTTCCCATCTCCTGGCATATAACTCCTAAAATTCTTGGACTCTTCTTCAAAGTGATGTCTTTCTGTATGCTAATGAGATGACTGGTGTTTGGGTGCCCTAGGACACTGCAGGATGGTTGCATCACCAGAAAGAACAAAGCTTGATTTGTTGGGATTTTCAGTCCCATCCCCGCCCCTTACAACAACCTCTAGAAAAGGGAGAGGGGCTGAAGGTTAAGTTCATCACCAATGGCCATTGGCTTTATAAATTATGCCAATTTAATTAGGCCTCTATAAAAACCCAAAGGGACAGGGTTCAAAGGGCTTCTGGATAGCTGAACATGTAGAAGTCCCCAGTAAGGGCTTGGAAGCCCTTCCCATACCTCTCCCTATGCATCTCTTCATCTGTATCCTTTGTAGTATCCTTATAATAAACCAGTGAATGTGTTTCTCTGAGTTCTGTGAGCTGCCGTAGCAAGTTAGTAGAAGCCAAGGAGGGAGTCATGGGATTTCTAATTAATAGCTAATCAGTTGGAAGCACAGATAAAGCAACTTAAATCTTGTGATTGACATCTGAAGTGGATGTTGTGGGCGGAGCGGTCTTGAGGACTGAACTTCAACCTGTGGGATCTCACACTATCTCCAGGTAGATAGTGTCAGAATTAAACTGAAATAAGACAGCCAGCTGCAAAATTGCTTGCTTGCTGGTGTTTGGGGAAAACCTCATGCACATTTGTTCACAGAAATCTTCTATGTTGATTGTTGTGGGTGAAAGTGGAGGGGAAAAAATTGTGTTTTCTCACTCAGACACACCTGCTTACACTTTCTGTTCCACTGATATTGACTTGCTGGCCACTCCTTTTCCAGCATTCTCCATTCAGTTTCTCAACAGCAGGCAATCCCCATACCATCTTTCTTAGTTGGAAGGCCATTTTTCCATCCCAAATCCCACCCCTTTTCCTGGACTAAGTCCTGTTGCTGATCTAGGGTTCAACTGCAGCATTACTCCCTCCAGAAAGCTATTATTCTGTCCTTTTTTTTTCCCTCAGTCTGGACAAGGTTTCTCTCCTCTGTCTTTTCATAGCATTCCAGGCATTCTTGTATTGTTAGAATTATCTGGGTTTTCCCTATTAAGCAGTGGAATCATAAGGCAGGGACTGTATCTTTTTTCTCATTCTGTCCCAAATACCTAAAAGTGTTCCCATCCCGAAGAATATCCTCTCCATTGATTTTAAATGAGAAAAGACATAATAATAAGTGAGTGAGTGAGTGAGTGAGTGAGTGAGTGAGTGAGTGAGTGAATTAGCATGGCTTCACGGGCACTTTGCTTGGCTCCTCGCCTCACCCTAAGCTGTGTGACCTCTAAGCAACAATTTTCCTGTAGGCCTGCAGGAAAAATTGGACAGAACTACTTTGAAGCCAGAAAACCTCCAAAGATCCTTATTTACCTAAATGTTCCCCTTAGAATTTCTAAGATGGACCAGTTGAGTGGGAGGCATGATGGATGATGGTTTCTGAGAGGGAGAGCACCCCATTCAAACAAGACAATTGGCAAAATTGACATGAACGATGTCAAGTATTTAGAGATGTTCTGGACCAGATCACCAGTTCTGTCAAACTTGAAGCAGGCCATGTCTCACTCAGGTCTTAACCCTGGTACTTGCACAAGCAATTACTCCTACAAGAATCTACTCATTCCATAGCCATAGCATGCCAATGATCAGTGCAAGGCAAGAGGGGGCTCAGGAACCCAAAAAGACTGCACAGGGAGGCTTTATTTCAATCACCATCCTGGTTTAGCTAGCTGGTTTAGCTAATTTTAACATGCACGCACACACACACACACACACGCACACACGCACACACACACCCCTGGCCGTGTGAACCCAAGCCAAGCTCAAAGGTTTTCAATCCTACTCTAACACACATAGTGAAGTAAGCCAAGTTTTCAACAGGAATCACCCTGTACCTTCCCTGAGAGGAAACAACTGTTTCTTTGTGGCTGCTTTTTCAACTGTAAGGAGACAATTGGCTTCAAAAGTCCCACTTGGGAGTTTATTCCTTGCCTTCCCTCTCCCTGTGGTTTGCTCTTAGCAGGGAATCTTTACTGATTCCATAGGCTAGCAGGACTTTTGGAGCCTGAGAAGTCTGACATATGGTAGTAATTAGCAAAGTCCAGCCATGAGAAAAATCATCTTAAAATATAGACTGAATGCCCATTCTGCTATATAATACCTAGAACATTCTGTAGCTTCAATTTTCTCTCCTGTAAAATAGTAATAATAATACATAACTAAATGACCTAATGAACTAAATTAACCTTCTGACTGTGCCATAACTCTTAATTTTCTTAATTATTTTTATAAAGATTATAGTAGGTTTTCCAACCATTATCTGTATTTTCCTAAATGGCATATCCATATATTAAATTTCAGATTGAAATTAGAGATACAATATATAGTCATAAATAGGAGCCAAGTTAACTGACTTATAACAACACTGAACTTTAGATTTCATATTCCTATCAACCCAAATAACTGATCAAACATATATTTTTACATGGAATATAACATTTCAAAAAATTAGCCTATTACAGAATGTATTATTACTTGATATTATTTGAAAATAGAAAAAAGAACATGAATATTTATTATTCTAGATTAAATTTCATGTCTCTGTACCATAAATGCAATTCCACGTAATATAATTTTTTCCACAGCAGGAAAATAAAATAAAAAGGATCAACCATAAAAAAACATGTTTTAGCATTGTTTAAATATCTCTATCATATTTTTGGCAAATCTATGGCAAAACTTTGGAAGCATTTTACAGAAACATTGAATATATCAACGCTAATTCAGCAGTGTTTAAATGATTTGTAGGTGTGGAGACCACACATCTGATTGCCCAGGATAGTCCAAGCTTACTCTTGTCTTGGCACAATTATTAGTAGCAGGCCCTGTCTTTCACAATAGCATCCTAGTTTGGAAAATAAAATTATAGAATCATCTTTTTTACAGGCTGGCTACACAAAGATTTAAAAAAAAAGACAATAGTGTTTAATACTTAAATGTCACGATGATTAATATAACATCTTCTATATTCCATTTTATTAAAAAATTACATATATTTAAGGTATACAACTGTGAAATATATGTATACGTTTTGAATAATCACCACAATCAAGCTAGCTAACATATCCATCACCTCACACTGTTACCATTTTCTTTCCTTCCTTCTTTCTTTTTCTTTCTTTCCTTTTCTTTCTTTCCTTTCCTTTCTTTCTTTCTTTCTTTCTTTTCTTTTGAGAAAACTTAGGACCTACAGTACTATATTATTACTCATAAGCCATCATATTACACATTAGATCACCAATCACGTATTCATCCCTTTGACCAACATCTCCTCACTTCATCCTCCCAGCACCCCCTAGCAACCATCAATCTACTCTCTGCATCTATGAGTTTGGCTATTTTAGGTTCCACATATAAGTGAGATCAAACAGTATTTGCCTTTCTGTCGGGCTTTTTTCACTTAGCATAGTGCCCAACAGGTCCGTGCACGGTGTCACAAATGGCAGGATTTCCTTCTCTTTTAAGGCAAAATTATATTTGCATTGAATCTGTAGATTGCTTGATGTAATATAGACATTTTTAAATATTAATTATTCAAATACATAAACATAAGATATATTTCTATTTTTTTATGACATCAATTCATTTCATCATTGTTTTCTAGTTTTTAGTGTATATATCTTTCACCTCCTTGGTTAATTTTATTTTTAAGTTTGTTTTTGAGGGTACTATAAATGTTACTATTTTCTTAATTTCATTTTTAGAGAGTTTATTGTTAATGTATATAAATGCAACAGAACTTTTATTATTGATTTTATCCTGTAAACTTACTGAATTCCTTTATTAATTATAACAATATTTTGGTCAAGTCAGTAAGGGTTTCTGTATATAAGATGATATCATTTGCAAACAGAGGCAATTTTACTTTTTTCTTTCAAGTTTGAAGGTCTTCTATTTCTTTTTGTTTCTTATTTGCTCTGGCTAGGTCTTACAGCACTACATTGAATATAAATGGTGAGAGTAGGCATCCTTGTCTTGTTCCTAACCTTGGAGAAAAAACTTTCGGATTTTCACCGTTTAATATGATGCTAGCTGTAGATTTGCTATATATGGCCTTTATTGTGTTGAAGTGCATTCCTTCTGTATTACTTTATTGAGAGTTTTTACCATGAAAGGATGTCAACTTTTGTCAAATGCTTTTTTTTGCATCTGTGGAGATTGTGTGATTTTCATCATATGGTGATATATCAAATTTATTTATTTGCATATGTTGAGCCATCCTTGTATCCGAGGGATAAATCCTACTTGCAAATAGTGTATAATCTTTAGATATACCATTCAATTTAGTTTGCTATTATTTTGTTGAAGAATTTTCATCTATGTTTATCAGGGTTATTGGTCTATAATTGTCTCTGCAGGTGGATTCTTTGGCTTTTGTATCAGGATAAAGTAGGCCCCATAAGATGAATTTTGAAATATTCCCTCCTATTCAATCTTTTCAGAGTTTAAAAGGATTGGTATTAATTTTTCTTTAAATGTTTGGAAGCATTCACAAGTGAAGATATCTTTTTCTAAGCTTTTTTTTTTCATTGCTGAGTCAACTTTGTTACTCATTATTTGTCTGTTTAGATTTTCTCTTTTTTCAAGATTCAATCTTGTTAGGTTGGATGGTTCCAGGAATGTATCCATTTCTTCTGGTTTATCCAATTTGTTGGTAAGTGTTCATAATAGTGTTTTAAGATCCTTTGTATTTCTGTGGTATCAAACAAAATGTCTTCTCTTTCATTTCTAACTTTCTTTGGGCATTCTCTCTTTTTTAAATTAGTCTACTTAAGGTATGTCAACTTTATTTATCTTTTCTAACAGCCAGCTTTTGGTTTCATTTATCTTTTCTAATGTTTGTCTATTTCATTTATTTCTTCTTTGATCATTAGTGTTTCCTTCCTTCTGCTAACTCTGAGTTTAGCTTTTTGTTTTTATAGCTCCTTGAATATAAATTTAGATTATTTATTTGAGATTTTTTTCTGAATATAGGTACTTATCACTATGAAGTCCCTTCTTAAAAGTGCTTTTTCTGAATCTCGTAAGTTTTGGTATAGCATGTTTCCATTTTAATGTATCTCAATGTATTTTTTTATTTAGCTTTTGGTTTCTTCCTTGACCTGTTGGTTGGTTAGGAACGTGGTGTTTGATTTCCACAAAGTTTTGAATTTTCCAACTTTCCTCACATTATTTATTTCTAGTCTCATATCATTGTGTCAGAAACTGTACTTGGTATAATTGCATCTGCTTAAATTCCTAAGCAAAAAGAACAAAGCTGGAGGCATCACATTACCTAACTTCAAACTACTCTACAAGGCTACAGTAACCAAAACTACATGCTACTGGTACAAAAACAGACACATAGACCAATGCAACAGAATAGAGAGCTCAGAAGAAGGGCCACACACTGTGACTATCTTATCTTTGACAAATATGATTTTTTTTAAAAAAAGCAAGCAATGGGGAAAGTATTCCCTATTCAATAAATGATGCTGGGATAACTGGTTAGCGATAAGCAGAAGGTTGAAATTGAACCCCTTCCTTATATACTAAAATCGACTCTAATTGATTAACAACTAAAATGTAATGCTTAAAACTTTTAAAATCCTGGAAGACAAGCTAGGCAATACCATTCTGGATATAGAAACAGGCACAGATTTCATGACAAAGATGCCAAAAGCAATTGTAACAAAATAAAAAATTGACAAATGGGATCTAATTAAACTTAAGAGCTTCTGCATGGCATAATAAATTATCAATAGAGTAAACAGGCAACCTACAGAATGACAGAAAATATTTGCAAAGTATGCATCTGACAAAGGTTCTATCCATTATCTAAAAGGAACTTAAATTTACAAGAAAAAACAAACAACCCCCTTAAAAAGTGGGTAAAGTACATGAACAGAGACACTTTACAAAAGTAGACATACATGCAGCCAACAAGCATATGAAGAAAAGCTCAACATCACTGATCATTAGAGAAATGCAAATCAAAACCACAATGAGATGCCATCTCAAATCAGTCAGAATGTCTATTATTAAAAAGTCAAAACAAAATTAGGTTGGTGCAAAATTGTAGCTTTTACCATTACTTTTAATGGCAAAAACATAATTACTTTTGCATCAACCTATCAAAGATGATGATGAGCTTGTGGAGAAATGGGAATGCATATACACTGTTGGTGGGAGTGTAAATTAGTTCAACCATTGTGGAAAACAGCGTGCTGATTCCTCAATGACCTAAAAACAGAAATACCATTTGACCCAGGAATCACATGACTGGGTATATACCTAAAGGAATATAAATCATTTTATGATATAAATGCATGTGTATGTTCATTGCAGCACTATTCACAATAGCAAAGACATGCAATTACCTAAACGCCCATCAATAGTAAACAAGATAAAGAAAACGTAGTACATATACAACACACCATGGAACACTATGCAGCCATGAAAGAGAACAAGATTATGTCTTTTATGGGAACATATAGAGCTGGAGGCCATTACCCTAGCACACTAATGCAGGAACAGAAAACCAAGTAACATATGTTTTCACTTATAATTTGGAGCTAAATGATGAGAACTCATGGCAAAAAGAGGGGAACAACGGACACTGAGACCTACCTGAGGGTGGAGGGTGGGAAGAGGGAGAGGATCAGAAAAAATAACTATTGGATGCTGGGCTTAGTACATGCCTGACTAAATCATTTATACAACAAACACCCATAACGTGAGTTTACTTATATAACAAATCTGCACATGTACTCCTGTACCTAAAATAAAAATAAAAAAATAAAAAATAAAACATGATAAGATGAAAAAAATAAAACTTGTTATATGACCTAAGATATGATCTATTCTGGAGAATGTTCTATGTGTCCTTGAGATGAATGTATATTCTGCTGCTGTTGGATGAAATGTTCTACATCTATAATGTCCTTTATCTGTTAGGTCCCTTTGTACTATAGTGTTCTTCAAATCCTCTGTATTTTATTCATTTTCTGGCTGGGTGATCTATCCAATGATATAAGTGGGGTGTAGATGTTTTCTACTGTTATTATATTGCCGTCTGTTTCTTCCTTCAGTTCTATTAATATTTGCTTTATACATTTAGGTGCTCCCGCATTGAGTGATACATCTTTGTTAATTCATCTTGATGAATTAATCTTGTTATCATTATACAATGACCTTCTATTTCATTTGAGAGTTTTTTAAAGTCTATTTTGTCTAAGAATAACTATTTTTTTCTTTTTTGGTTATCATTGCATAGAATATCATTTTTCTTTTTTCTTTTTTTTTCTTTCTTTTTTTTTTTTTTTTTTTTTTGAGACAGGGTCTCACTCTGTTTCCCAAGCTGGAGTACAGTTGTGTGATCACACCTCACTCTAGCATCAATATCCCAGGCTCAATCGATCCTCCCACCTTAACCTCCTGAGTTTCTGGGGCTACAGTTGTACACCACCATGCCTGGCTAATGTTTTTGTATTTTTTGTAGAGACATGGTTTCACCATGTTACCCAGGGTGGTCTCTCAAATACCTGGGCTCAAATGATCTGCCCACCTTGGCCTCAGGAATATTTTCTATTCCTTAATTTTATTTATATGTGTCCTCAAACCTAAAGTGAATCTCTTGCAGGCAGCATATAGTTGGATCTTTTTTATTACAAAATTGATTTAGTCACTCTCTATTTTGACTGGAAATTTTAATTCATTTAAATTTGCAGTATTTATTGATAGGTGAGGACTTTTTATTGCCATTTCATTGTTTTCAAAATGTTTTGTAGTTCTTGTTCTCTTTTTTATCTTTTGCTATTTTCCTTTGAGATTTGTTAATTTTTTGTGGGATTATATTTGGATTGTGCATTTTTAATCTTTGTTTAATCTGCTACTGGTGTTTTGTTTTTTGTATGACTACAATGAGGCTTACATAAAACATCTTATAGTTATGACAGGCTATTTTAAACTTATAAAAACTTAACTTTGATCACAAACAAATTCTACACTTTTACTTCTCCCTCTATTTTATGTAATTGATATCATGTCCCTATTTACACCTGTTTATGATATATATCCATTAACAAGTTATTCTAGCTATAGTTATTTTTAATACTTTTTTCTTTAGATTATACATTAGCATTAAAAATGACCCTTACATAATCATTATAGTATTAGAGGATTCTGTGTTGGGAACAGGCCCCCCAAAATCTGGCCATATACTGGCCCCAAAACGGGCCGTAAACAAAAGCTGGGCAGCACAGTTAACATGTTTGTGATGGCCATGACACCCACGCTTGAAGGTTGTGGGTTTACCAGAATGAGGGCAAGGAACACCTGGCCCACCCAGGGCGGAAAACTGCTTAAAGGTGTTCTTAAACCACTAACAATAGCATGAGCCATCTGTGCCTTAAAGACATGATCCTGCTGCAGATAACTAGCCAAACGCATCACTTTATTTTGGCCATCCCTTTGTTACCCATAAGGAATACTTTTAGTTAATCTATAATCTATGGAAACAATGCTTATCACTGGCTTGCTGTCAGTAAATACGTGGGTAAATATCTGTTAGAGACTCTCAGCTCTGGAGGCTGTGAGACCCCTGATTTCCCACTCCACACCTTTATATTTCTGTGTGTGTGTCTTTAATTCCTCTAGCGCTGCTAGGTTAGGGTCTCCCCGACTGAGCTGGCCTCGGCAATTCTGAATTAGAGTATGTACTTATCTTTACCAGTAAGTTTTATACTTTTATGTTTTCATGTTTTTACTGAGTGTTCTTTTGTTTTATCTTGAAGAACATCCTGTAGCATTTCTTGTAAGGCAGGTATATTGGTAATAAACTTGCTTGATTTTTGTTCACCAGAGAAAGGCTTTATCTCTCCTACATTTTTTATGGATAGCTTTGCCAAGTAAATAATTCTTTGTTGTCAGGTTTTTGTTGTTGTTGTTTTTTCTTTCAGCACTTTAAATATATTGTTTTACTCTCTCCTGGCCCATAAACATTCTACTCAGATTTCTGCTAATGGTTTTATTATTTGGGGAGAGGGGAATGTTCCCTTTGTAGATGATTAACCATTTCTCTTGCTGCTTACAAAATTCCCTCTGTCTTTGACTTTTGGCAATTTGATTAGAATGTGTCTCAGTGAAGATTAACTGATGTTTAGCCTATTTGGGAATCTTTGTGCATCATGGATTTGGATGTTCATTTTTTCCCAAGATTTACAAAGTTTTGTCTCATTATTTCTTTAAGTAAACTATTTTATTTTCTTTTTCTCTGTTCCTTCTGGAACTCTTATACTACATATACTGTCTCATTTGATGGCATCCTATAAGCAATGCAGGCTTTCTTCACTCTTTTTCATTCTTTGTCTTTTTAGTCCTCTGACTGGATAATTTCAAATGATCTGTCTTTGAGTTTGCTGATTCTTTCTTCTGTTTGATCAAGTGAGCTGTTGCAGCTCTCTGTTGATTTTTTTTTCAGTCATTGTAGTCTTCATCTTTATGATTTCTAGTTCTTTGTTGAATTTCTCACTTTGTTTATGTACTGCTTTTCTGATTTAATTTAATTGTAAATCTGTGTTCTTTTGTAGCTCATTGAGCTCATATGACTATTTTAAATAATTTGTCACACAACTTGTAAATCTTCATTTCTTTTAGGTCAGCCACATGAACTTTATTTTGTTTCTTTGGTAGTCTCATGTTTCCTTGATTCTTCATATTTTTAAAGTTTTGTGTTGAAAGAAGCAGTCACATTTTCAAGTCTTTACTATCTGTCTTCAAAGAAGACCTTCACAAGTCAGCTTAACTAGAGATTTTGAGGGTCTCTCAGGCCTTTTTTATGGGTTTGCCCACCCCACTGCTCTTTTTTCCTCCTATGAGGAAGTCCTGGGATTGTGTGTCTTCTCTTGATCCTGTTAAGTCAAGCCAGGTGTTGAGAGCCTCCTCTTTATTTTTCACATGGCAATGCCCTGAAGTATTTAATCTTGTATACCTTTTCCCAGTCCTGCAGAGTTGAGCTGGCTGCTGATCTACATGCACTCTCTGTGAGTATTTGCTCGCACCATCTCAGCAGCGCACATAGAATGAAGAGGGTGCATATTAGCCAGTAAGGGACACTGCAGATGAGGTTTTCCATAGAGCTCACGGGTGGGCCTCTTGGTGGAGTCCATAAGCCACTTAGTAGGATATATGGCCATATTTTGAGATCTTCACAGTGGTTGTTTTGAAGCCTCATCCCTTCTTACCTGCTCCTAGTTCCCCCCAAGACTATTTAGTCATGCCAATCACCTCAGTAATCTGGGAGTGGGAAGACCAGTGTAAGCCTCTTGGGTACCATTCCATAAGACTGGGGAAGCTAGGCCCTCACTCAGCTATCATTTTCCCCTATGGGAGAAATCATGGGCCTGCGGGATCTCCCTTGGCCCTAGGCTATGCTGCCTTAGATGATGTGGGTAAAGTGTAACTGTTCTTACCCACTTCAGTGTGTTTATCCTCAAACTTTTTTTCCACGAACGGGGTTCTAGAATCTCTCCACTGGACTTCCAGTTTCCCACAGATGCATACAGTTCCTAGATCATTGTTAAAATCGCTGTTGCTGTAGGGGAGTGAGGGCTGGAGTCTCTTATTCCATTATCTTGCTGATGTCCCTCTGGCCTTTTTACTTTTCAATAAAATATTTTCATTTCACAAAAAGTTACCTTCGTGAGTTTTTTCAGTTTATTTTCGTTTGTACAAATTCCCTTTAAGTACTAATATCTCTCTGTCCTAAAAAATTATACCTTGTAAATATATATACAAATTACTCAGTTACATACTACTGTGCCCTAATCAGTTGAAGGCCTAATTCAATTATTTTAATTTGACATGAAGACAATGGTAAATATAAGCACACAGATAGGTACTGAGATGATATAGTTCTGTAATGAGTAATAAAATGATCATCTAGATAATTCAGAATATACAGTTTTCCCTTTGTTTCTGTGGGGGATTCGTTCCAGGGCCTCCCATAGGTAGCAAAATCCATGAATACCCAAGTCCTTGATATAAAATTGTGTAATATTTACATATAACCTATGAACATCCTCCTCTATATTTTTAGTCATCTCTGGATCACTTAAACCCTAATACAATGTAAATGTTGTATAAATAGTTGTTACACTGTACTGTTTAGGAAATAATGACAAAGAAAAGTCTGTACATGTTCAATAAAGACACATTTTTTCCCAAATATTTTTAATCCCGGGTTTTTATTTCATATCTGTGGAATACAAAGGGCTGACTATATTTATAGTTTACATATATTAAACTGCTCAGAGAGAATTCACACTACCAGAAATTTGCCATGGATCTCAGTTTAAGAAACACTGTGCCAGACCACTGTTTCCCAAGAACATGTTTGATTTTGTAGAAACCGTAATTACAGGACCTAACTGGAATATACTGCATACTAGTTAAATGCTTGTTTAATTGAAAATTTCATAGATTTAAAGCAACATAGATGTCATAGGAAACCACTAAATAGAGATTTTTCTCAACTAGCTCAACTATTTGTCCTTACATTTCTCCAAAGTCCAAATATCTTTCACATACAGCTACAGCTGTATTTGTCTGTTCTCGCACTACTATAAAGAAACATCTGAGACTGGGTCATTTATTTAAAAAAACAAAACAAAACAAAACAAAAACAGGTTTAATTGGCTCATGGTTCTGCAAACTGTACAGGAAGCATGGCAGCACATGCTTTTGGGGAGGTCTTAGGGAGCTTTCACTCATGGTGGAAGGCAAAGTGAGAACAGGCACTTTACATGGTTGGAGCAGGAAGAAGAAAGAGACAAGGGAGGTGTACACACTTTTAAACAACCAGATCTCACAAGAGCTCAGTCACTATTGTGAGGACAGTACCAAGAAGGAAATGTGCCTCCATGATCTAATCACCTCCTGCCAGGCCCCACCTCCAACATTGGGGATTACAATTCAACATGAGATTTGGGAAGGGACACAGATCCAAACCATATCAATGGCTTTCAAATTTATCATCTTCATCCAGCTAGCTGGATGGGAAAAAGAACATGGATGGTTTTTGATGGGCCCACACTAGTAGTGGAAAATAGTTGTTCCATTGACTAAATTGCTATTACGCGGCTACACTGCAAGAGAGACCATGGTTGTAGTCTGGAGGTCTACCAAGAAAAATTTGAAAATTTGTATTTTGATCAGCAGTCATATATGCTACAGAGCTTCAGGTAGTGTAGTCACAACCAGTAGTACGTGGGACAAAGAGTACATGCGTTAGTCAGTGCAGGCTCTGGAGTCAGTCTTTAACGTTGGAATCCAAGTGGTCATTTTCCTGTCAGTTCTACATGAATACAATGGATATTTTATACCTACTCCATGGATTTGGTGATAAGATTAAGTGAGATAATAGATTCATTAGACTTATAACGGTACCTAGCACATGACCATTACTAGATAATTATTATTTATTTTTATTAAATACTAATAATAATCAGCTACTATAAAAAGCCTATTTTCCATCTCTGCTTAGGAGAACAAAAGTATTGATGAAACAACCAAAATGTCTTCATCAAAAGAATCATGTTCTATACAAATATACTTTTTTTATGTAGAAAACATTTATATAAAAATCTTCCTGGACTTCAATAAGACTTTTAATTTGGGGTCTGAGCAACAAGATAGGAATGTGTAATATAAACCATGCCACTCTAAGCACATCTCTGACTCAAGTATTTTGGTAGAATTATCTATATCTATATATCTCATAAATAATTATTGAAGGAGAATATATGTACAGTTGAAAATCACACCCATATTCCCCACTCCAATTTGGCAATATCCTAACTGAAAAGTCAGTAATATGGATATCAAAGTATATTTTTTATTATGAATTAAACTGAATTAGAAAATCCAGCTTGCGTAGATAGTCAAATTGGCTTCTAATGCCTTCACCATTGAATTGACTGCCAATGCTACAGAATCATCTGCTGCAATCACTCCACTGGGGGGCTGAGCCTGTCATCTTAAACTTCACTTGTGAAGGCTTATTAAGTTGAGGGCCTAAAAGGCCATGAATGCACAATTCTCAATTCACTAATCACATAGTCATTCCTGTTTTCTTAGGGAGAATTGACTAAACAGACAAAGATATTTGGAAAATTCCTTTTTCTTACTCTGTGCCTCAGTAGGGCAGACATTCTATGTCCTGGCCATAGAAAAGGTAGTAGGGAAAGAAAATTGTTCTCACTGATACGCCCCCCTCCCAGTGACATAAATATATGATCTATACAATCAATCATTTCTAAATATTGAAAAATTTGAGAGTAAACATTGCACTTTTAGGTAATAATATGAAAGTGGTAATAATGATGCCTCAGAAAACAATATAATTCAGTAAGTTTAAACAATGAAACTTTCTATTTTCAAAAAAGAAAGGGAGTAATAGAGGGCAAAACGACCTAGAAACAGGATCAGAAGAATATCATTAAAAATAAATATTACAAACATTTGAGAGGCACCCTGGTTTGTGTTATTTCTGTGACCATCATTTTAAAAGCAAATATAGTATTAGAAATGCATTAGTAGGAATAAGATACATAAAAATAAGTAGATTTTTATTTTATATTTTATAAGATATGTAAAAATAAGTGTAAATATATTGAGGATTCTTTCAATTCATATGACAGTATTGCATTCATTTCTGACAAGTAAGTACAAAACAGAATGTAGAAAAAATAGGAAGTTTCTGTACAAAATATAAAAATAAAATGGGCTGGGCATAGTGGCTCACGCCTGTAATCCCAACACTTTGGGAGGCCAAGGTGGGCAGATCACGAGGTCAAAAGATCGAGACCATCCTGGCCAACATGGTGAAACCCATCTCTGCTAAAAATACAAAAATTAGCTGAGCGTGGTGGCGCACACCTGTAGTCCCAGCTACTTGGGAGGCTGAGGCAGGAGAATTGCTTGAACCCAGGAGGCGGAGGTTGCAGTGAGCTGAGATCACGCCACTGCACTCCAGCCTGGAGACAGAGCAAGACTCCATCTCAATAAATAAATAAATAAATAAATAAATAAATAAATAAATAAATAATACTTGAAGGCAATATTGAAAAATAGAAAGTGGCATATGTATGCTTTGAAACATACAAATTTGGATTGAAATATTAGCCCTGTGGCATATTAGTTTCAAGACTTTAATGATGCTAGTTGACCTCCCCGAGTCGTTTTGCTTTGTCCATAAAATGAGAGCAACTTCATATGGGGGTTGTGATAGCATAGATCACATCACGTTTGGCTCACGGTAACCACTCAAACATAAATAGTTTCCTCACTCCCTGAGAAACATATTATTGAGGAAAAAAAGCGGAGCCTGAAAGAAGTGAATTTATTTGGAATTGTTTTGAATGAAAAGAGGTGATTTAGTGAGCCCTCCCTTCCAGTAAACAGTCTCTTAATACCCTGAAGAACCTGAACTAGAACAAATAGCCTTAAATTGCATCAATTTTCATCTTGACTTCCTGGGAATGTAATAGTACTGTAATAGGCCCTAGGTCTTAGAAGTGTCCAGAAAATCATGCAAAAGCATCATAAATATGTGTCTAAATGATTTGGGAATAACCCAATCTAATCTCTTGTGCAAGAATTTTAATCTCAAATGTGTTCTACATGGTTGTATGGCATGTTTGTATCCACTTATCTTATGACTGAACTTCCCCAAATAGTTCTTAAACTATATTTGTCAATTTAATGCATTATACATCTTAATTCCTAATAAATGTTTATTTTTATAGCTTTTACAACTGGGACGCTGATATTGCTGTTAGTAATTCAAGTCCCAACTATCAAGTGATTGCCGATAATCCAGAAGGCTTACTTTTCAGATACAAAAGAGACAGAAAAATTCTTAATGTGGACCCAAAGGTAATTCTTCTTTTACACTTAGTTAGTTACCTCTTCACATGTTATTGTATTTCTGCCACTATTCAAAAAATCTGTTAAATATTTGACACTCTTAAGTTGTTAAATTTAGAAAGGAAATAACATTTTGAAACTTAGAGCATGTACTACCTTTTAAAAAACACTGCATAGCTTCATAAATTATTAGAAATTAATAAGAAAGAGTTTAGGGGGAATTTAAACAGAACTCACAAGTGGAAACACTTCTCCATGCCTAGCACAGAATTGCACCAGGGAGCCAGTAGGCCACGCATGTGCTTCCCCCGATCCTGCAGATGTCCAGCCACTTGTTGCTGTTAGTGGGGAGGAGCGTCATTCAGAGAAGGGAGATTCTGAACTTACATTTGTACCCAGAATTCTAATACCCCTCTGTGTATGTGACTAACACTAAAAATGGTTTGGCTCTTAATGTATTTCTAAGTGTTAATTTGGAAAACACTTTTATTTAAATATTTTAAAGACATGTCTCATGATATTTTGAATTTGTTCAAAGAAAAATATTTACATCTTGCATATTTTCAAAGACTGCATTTGAATCATGACTTTTTATTATGATTTGTCCTATGTCTCGGGATGAAAGTTAAAACTTTGCTTGAAGTCATTATGTGTTTGACTTGTATCGGTGGGTTTCATTTTGTTATTGTTTTTAAATTTTGAAAACTATTATTCACATGAAAGTGTCAGTCTAAAATCCAAAAGCAAGAAAAAGATTCTTTCATAGTAAAATAAATAAAAATTGTTTGATACACATGGAATATGGACAAGGATGGGCCAAAGGAAAGGGGGGTCAGGTTATAAAAACTTTTCCAAAAGTTTTTAGAAAACCAAAGTCAAAAATCCAGTCTGTATTTCATATCCACTTAGTACAGTTCCTTGCACATAAAAAATGCTAAATAGGCCAGGCGCGGTGGCTCACACCTGTAATCCCAGCACTTTGGGAGGCAGAGGCGGGCAGATCACCTGAGGTCAGGAGTTTGAGACCAGCCTGGCAAACATGGAGAAACCCCATCTGTACTAAAAATACAAAATTATCCAGGCATGGTGTCGCATGCCTGTAATCCCAGCTATTCAGCAGGCTGAGGCAGGAGAATGGCTTGAACCTGAGAGGCAGAACTCCGTCTCAAAAAAAAAAAAAAATGCTAAATAACCATGTCTTTAAAGAATTAATGACCATAATTCTGTAACAAGAAATAGATGATTACCTGAAATGAGATACAGCTACAAATATCAGAAATGCCAAGATAGTAATTTAAACAGGATAGAAGCTGCTTTCTCTTCCACATGTAAGTGTAGATGGTGACAGTCCAAGGTTTAAATGACAGCTCCACAGTCATCTGGGCCAGGGTGATCCTCATTTTCTTGGGCCAAAATAGGTCTCCAGCCAAAATAACCACATTCAAAACATAATGCCTGGATGGGGTTGAGAGGGTACAAAGAACATTCCCCTGATGCCTTTAAAGGGAGTTTCCAAAAAGCTACTGCACAAACCATCACTTATGTTCCATTGTAAGAAGTTAGTCTTATGGAGGTGATTAGCTACATGCAAAGCTGGGAAATATAATCTTTATTCAAATGACAATGCACCCAGCTAAAAACAGGTATTCTGAGACAGGGAGAAGAGAGGTTTAAGTAGACAACTGGCAGGTTCTAACACAATGCTATCTCCTTCAAAATAACAATACTCTTTTTTGGTCTCAGGTTTCTCATTAGTGAAATGAAGTACTGGATCAGAGAGTTTTTAGGGCTGTATTTATTATGAATCTATGAATACCAGAGTACTTTATCAACATACCTTCTCTCTAGTGGTTCTTCTTTACTTATGGGTGTCAAAATGAGATCAGTAGGGGCAAAGTACAGAAAACTTAATAAATAGCATTTCCAGAGTCATTTCCTTAGAAGTCTAAACTATATAAATAAGAAAAGATTTTAAATTATGAATGCTCTTGTTAAGATGTGTGAAACAAATATTTGAATCAATTTTGAATGACATCATATTTAAACTATTTTAGGGCTGTATTTTAACTAATGGCATATTTCAAGAATGCATGTCATGAATTGTAGTTTTTACAGTCTTTGGGGAATCATTATTGAATGTGAACTGTTGCTTAAACATCGTTCAAATAATTTTAACTCAAACTCAAACTTCCAAAATAGTCAACCATGAGATTTCAGTATGACATATAACATTTGTCTCCTTTTTTCTGAAAGATTTTGATTAGATTTTATGATAAATTTGAAGAAATTTTTTTCCAACTCTTGAATAAAGAGCAAGCATTTGGTTAATGAGTGGTAAGAGTAAGAATTATTAGGCGAGACATACAACAACATTTGGATACGTATATTTCTTTAAATTTTAATTTTATCTTGTGGAAAGTAAAAATTAATAGTAGACTTATGAAAAGAAATGTTGGTCTCAGCATTAGTAAACAGAGTCCTAGGCTTTACTATTAATTGGCTGCATGACCTTGATAAATTCACTCAACTTCCCTGGGTTTTAGTGGTCACAACTAGAAGATAGAGAGTTGTTGTAGTTGTTGTGTTGTTGTTTGTTTTGTTTCTTTCTGATCTCTAGAGTTCCTTTAAAGTACCAGGCCCAGTTTTTAGAGATTCTGCCTCGACTGGGACCAGAAGTACATATTTTAATAAGAAGCCTGTGTGATTCTGCTACAGGTTGTTCATGAACTGCAGTTTGAGAAAAAATCTCCATAAAAAGTCAATAGTCTAAAAACATCAGGCATTCTGTTCTCAAAAAATAAGTAGAAAGACACTTATATATTTTAATTATTGTGGACAAGATGTATTGTACATTGCTACAAAATTTCTTAACTTATTCTTTCTTCAAAGATCCAAGATCTTTTTTATTTCATGCATCCAACATAAAATTTCTTATAGACCTAAGGAAGAACCAAGAAATAAGCAAAATAAATATCTGCAGTTACTTTAATAACTACTAATACATATTGATAGAAATTACATTTTTATAGTCAATATTTTTCTTAGCAATTTTTATTGAAATCCTTCCTAAGGTGAACATCTCATAACTCCAGTAGTTAAAGAGCTGTAAAATATTGTAAGAGCAACTCAGCTCTCCTTTTCTTCTCCTTCATGTACCCTCTTTGAAATACTTTATGCTTAAAATTAAAGAGGTCAAGATAAATGAAAGGTGGAAACAGTGATAAACAGGATGTGTTTACTTTGTCCAACACAGATGTGGACTCATTAATTCTGAAGTATGTTTCCCGTGAAAGGCAGTTGTTTGGGAATGGTAACAGTGGAAACAGAAACTTGTGCAGGTCTTACAACAAGTAATATGAGTTCATTGGTTAGGAAATTCCAAATGCAATAAGAGTTTGGTTGCATTGAAAACAGGACCACTGGCTTTAACTTCCCTGCAGCTGTATAACATCTGGAACAAATAAGCCAAGTTTCTATTTTTGAGTGAAGAATGCTTGTTTGAGTGATTCACACCCACCAAAATGTTTCCAGTGTATTATCTTTAGAAGAATTAAATGGAAGCACTTTGCACTCTGTCCAATATATTATTTGGACAAATTTTTTAAATACACTTTTTTTTTACTTTTCAAAAACACTAACCATGGGATAGTTTGCTTTGAGTCTTACCATAGCATAAGTGGTCTAAAACTGGCATGAACCACTAATAAGGCAAGAAAGAGAGAGAGAGAGATTGTATACAATAGTTACAACAAAATATATATATATTTCTTAGTTACACCAGCTATTCTCACTTCCCATTTCTGAGAGGCCATCACCTGGAAAAATGCCTTGCTAATGAATATTTGATAAATATTCATTGAATTGATGATTGAATGGATCATTCCCTCCAAAAGCAATAATAACAATAATAATAATAGTAATAGTGCTACACTAATTAAAAGTTAATGAGTAAATTATGTTAGTCATTTGATATAGCAGTGATAGCAGAAATGGGTATAGTCATTTTCCCTATATTAACCCAAATAAGTCACAAAAAATGCAAGAATTTATTGCTGAAATCAGATTTTGTAGGAACTATGCAGAAATCTTTATTTTGGTCTATGCTTTCATACCTTCTTGTGCAGTCCCAGAAATATATAATTTAAACTATCTCAAATTAAGATTATTGAATTAGAACATGATTTTGATTTATGAACAGACTTCAACAGATTAAATGACTCACTGACAGTCAACAGTTAATTATTAGTAGAAACCATCAATGAAGCTTAAATATTATGAGTCACATGGGGAGGTGAAGATGAGCAAGACTTCAATCTTTGCCCTTTAAGTGCTCTTAGTGTTTTTAGGGAAATAAGTCAAAACATAACTGCAGTATAATGCAGAAAATGATACATTGCACAGGAGAGAAATACTTTTGGAATTCAGTGAAAGAAGAGATGATTTTTGATCTGGGGACAGGAGCTAGTGGAAAGGAATGGTGAAGGGAGAGCATTGGAGATAATGTTAAGTGATAATGGAGGAAGTAAACTTTTAGTGGGGACTTAAAGGATGATTAGAAATTGAACTAGATGCTCCCTAAAACTTAAAGTATAATAAAATTTAAAAACAACAACAACAAAAAAAAAAAGAAGCAGGATCATAAAAAAAAAACAAAAAACAGAAATTGAACTAGAGAGGGGGAGAATCGAACACATAAGGAGGGAAAGGGAGTCAATATCAGGAATTAAACCTATTACCCAAGATAAGATTCACAAGTATAAAACAGACAAGGGAAAACCCAAATAGTTCAATTTGGCTTCTGCGTTGGATTGAAGGGGTGAATTGGGAATTAAGCCTGGAGAGGTCATCAGAAGCTTTGACTGCAGGACTGAGGCAGATCTTGGACTGGACTCAATAGGAAATGGGGAAATATGCCAAGCATCTTGTGCAGAGAAATAACAGGATGAAAGTTGGGCTTTAATGTTAGAAGGTGTAGAGCAGTACAGACGAGGGAGGAAAAGCTGGAGAAGACAAGCAGAATAACAGTAACCCAGGTGAAAAGTAAAAAGGACTGGAAGTAGAGGTCCTGCTATAGTTGGCAAATTTTGAGTTGATGCTTTCAATATTGCAACTACCAGATCATTCAGGTACAGATAGAACTTATATTATGTATATCTATCTAGAAAAGTTTTTGAGAGAGCTCACTTTCCCCCAGTACTCAGAAAAGAAAGAGAGGGAGAAAGAACATGTGTGTGTGAGAGAGGAGAGAGACAGTATTGCTGGATGAGTACAGGGCACACAAGTGAGCTGGATGGATGTCTGCCACTCTTTATTCTTCCCTCCACCCCCCCCCTTTCTCATTTGATGTTTCCTTGGCAACTGTTGAGAACTATGAAGCTTAAAGGTGAATCTGGAAGGTAGATTTCTTGTCCTAAAAAGCTTACAGGTTAACTGGTGAGTGGGTGGGAAAATATACACATAGAAATGGCAAGCTAGAAAGTAACCTGAGAGGACAGAAAAAGTTCTGTAAGAATTCAGGGGAGGCAGAATGTACTTTGGACCAAAGATATTCAAAAACAAGTTAATGAAAGAGATAGCATTTGAACTGGGTCTGGAAGGGTGGGTATGGTGAGGACATGAGGACTGGAGAGGAAGGGTGTTCTGATAGGAAGAAAAACCATGCACAAAGGCATGGGAGCACGAAGGCATGGGAGCACAAAACATGAGGCTGTGAAGGAAGGCAGAGGACCTCCTTGTGGCTACAGAGAGGCTGTCAGCACAGATCAGATATCAGAATCACCCAGGAAGCTTTAGAATATATGATGCCTGACCTCATCCCAAGAAGGCTGGATAACTGATCTGAGTGGAAGGCTTAGGCATTGGTACTTTTCAAAAATACCCTGGGTGATTCTAGTGGTTCACAAGGGTTGAGACAAAGGTGTAGGAAGGAGAATCATGGCAGAAAAGTCTTGAGAGAATAACTAAACACCACAAGTGGAAGCCAAATCTAATTAGTGTTTGCCATTCTATAGACCTCAAGGAGATTCAGTACTATTTGTGTCACAATGACTTAGAATCAAAATTTCTAAGTATGAAAATACATAATCCATTTTGAAAGGAGGTGATGTGACTCTTCTGTTGGCTAAACTTCATTGGTGTGATTTTAGAATTCAAAAGAAAATCAATTATATTAAAAATATGAAAATTTATAGGGCAAGATCTCTTTTTGTTATCTTATTTACTGTCTAGTAGAGTACATCTTGAATATAGTTGCTTGGTAAGTCACTGATAACAAGCAAACTAAAAGACATGTGAAAAGATCTCAGAGACCCATAGTTTCTATTGGATGTAGGACATTAGTGAAACAAAAAACAGTATTATAGAATAAAACTTTCTGGATCCATGCTGAGTGTCACAAGGTTTGGAAGGCATGTGCAATGTAGACTGTGCATGGACTTAGCAGGATTTATTTCTTTGTTCTTTTTGTATCAATACTCCTGACTATTAAGCCCAGACTCCTCTATTTGAAAATTGTTCACAATTGTTCAAACATAACAGTGAGCTACTTTGGCATGTAGTCTATTATCACAAGAGCTCTTTATTAGTACCCAGCCTGCCCTGGCTTGATTAGGAGCAATTCCTATTAATTCAGGAAAGCATTTCCTCTTCCTCTCTCTTTCTCAAATTCACCAATCAGAGAACTCAAGGCTCTTCCCTTAGATATCAGACTGAATCCATCTATGGTGAGTCCCAGCAAATTCTATTTTTAAAGCCTCTTCAGGTAACCCTAAAGATTAGCTGGATTTTATATCCACTGCTTTACACAGTACTATTGTCTTAGCTGTTGTTTCACCTTAATGTATATGCATAAAGCTATCAAACTTCATTCATTTAAAATATGTTGTAATGCAACAGTGTTAACTTTAAGTCATTGAAATTACACGTTCCCAGGACTGCACAGACTAGAAAGCACAGACCATATACCAAAGAGTGCTGTGTAATGAGATACAACTGCACTAAATGCTTCTGCTAATAAATCACCATCACTGCTATTTTTTCTTCTTATTTGGATCATTATGGGGGCCAGAGAGTGGGCGAGGGGTTGGGAGGTTTTACGCATTCTTTGCTATTACTGCCTCATGGAACTTCATTTTGTGAAGTGAGTTTGCCTAGAGGCTCAAATGAAACAATACACATGACAGAAACTTGTAAAGCATAAACTGTTAAATGTAGGGCAGGAACCCTTTCTGGACATTTTGCCGTTGTATTACCAG
Organism: Homo sapiens; assembly: GCF_000001405.40. Classification (NCBI taxonomy): domain Eukaryota; kingdom Metazoa; phylum Chordata; class Mammalia; order Primates; family Hominidae; genus Homo; species Homo sapiens. The sequence continues at coordinate 80,952,184 of NC_000004.12, forward strand.
GGCTAGCTCCATGCCTGCACATGGTAGGTGTTCAGTAAACATCTGCGGGATGAATAAATTGAAATATTAAATATTTGCTAAAGAAATGAATGGTAGGGCCAAAAATAATTCTTAAAAAAAATTGAGGTTAACTTAAAATATTTTAGGGTCTTAGGCACTGAAAACATATGTAGAGCTAAAGCTATTTTTAGCTAAAAACTACCAGAGTAATTGACTCTAGTGCTTTTCTGCCTAGGTAGGTGGATAAATGAATTATCACTCAGGGTTCTTTGAGGAACTTTCGAGAGTAAATGGTGATTTTTTCCAGGGTAACGGCAATGTGTTAGGTGCATGGGTAAATGAGAGTAGCAATTACTTTATTATTTTTAAAAATAAATGCGTAGTCACTGTTGTCTATTATTGTACAGGTGCTAAAAACAAATATGTCAAATTCTTTCTTTTTCTCTGAGCAAAAGACTAGACACATAAGGTTTAAAATTAAAAATAAATTCAACTAATAAAATCACCCGTTTTTGTTTTTGCATTTTTTTTTTAATTTAGAGGAAGAGTCCAGCAACATCTTCTCAGAGCTCCTCTCTCCTCTGTTCTGCCCTCTCAGGCAACCCCCACGCAAGCACTTGCTACTATTAGTAGGAAAGGTGTTCATTACCTGTTTAATGCCACCTCTGCTTCTGAGGTCGTTGGCTTCTCTTCATTTCCCTTGCCTCCCAGATCCTAAAATCCTAACCTGTCATAGCCTTGAAATTGATCTTCTCAAAACGGAGACCCATAACATTTCTACGTCCTATATGCAGATGGTTCCAATTTAATCTCTTGGAACCTCGCCCTTCAGTGAAGGTCCTCAGTTTTAAAATCTGCCTTTTAACAGGAGGAGCTATATATAATCCCTTTTGAAAAACAAACAAACAAAAAGCTGAATAGAATAAGTTTTAAACAAGGTTATGGCTTCCGCAACGTCTCAGAAATGTTTCTGCAAACTGCACTACAAGACTAAATTAATATTGGGCCAGTGGGGCAGGGGATATCTACTGAATCACCAACACCACTTTTTTGGCCCCTGTATTTTCCTTGGAGGCCTCTTATAAATGTTGCTTTTTAACTGTGGCACAGTCACAGTTATTAAGTAAAGCTGAGGCCTTGCCAACTTTCTCGTTTTGCTACCCAAATTACTGAATGTTTGGTTGATTATAGCCCTAAAACACCCACATACTAAGTAGCTTTTAAACATTTTCTCCTCTGGGTAATCACCTGGTATATCTGAACTGAAAGCCCACCACATATAAATTAAGTATTTACTCAACTAACTACTGCTAAAATCAATGGCCTTGAGGAATACATTAAAATTATATAACAGAGCTTGGCTTTTATGAATTAAAACTCCTAAAACTTAAATGTCATGTCCTCCACTTGACCTGAAAAACTGACTTTAATTTTATATGCAGTATTTAAGGAACAACCCCCAGAGATAAGCACATTGTTCATAAGTGTCCAGTGCATGAACTCATATATGAACTGTAACACAAGAAATGTAAGCTACACGAAAGAAAAAAATACATATATATTTTTTGAATTTTGAATTATGTATATACATAAATATATATGTCAATGTTTAGTAATAAGAGAGTATAAATGATAAGCCTCCATCATCTGAGCTGAACATATGCAATGAAAAGAAAGGTACATATCCCAATAAAGCATACATGACAAAGAAAAATTATTGTTTTAAGCTTTTATTTCCAAGAGCAACCTAATCAAACATGATGCCAAAAGTAAAAGGGACCCATATGGCCTAGGGATATAAGGATGGAGAGATTTGAGGAAGAGAGCTTTAGACACAGTTCACGCTCACTTTCTCACAAAATGTATTACCTCAAATCAAGAAGTATGGAAGAGAGTAGAAGTTAATTTCCTGGCAAGATGGAATGATTGAATAAGAACAAAATAATTGTTTCCTCTATGATCTTAAAAACCTGATAACTAATAACACAGAAGCAGGCATCAGAAAACACATGAGTCAGGCATGGTGTCATTGCAGGTGCAAGACCACAGTTGAGGGATTATTTCTAGTTCAAAAAAAGAGCATGTTTTTTTCCTGGGTCTCAACAGTTGAACAAGTAGTTAATTCCCATGACTCTTTCTCAGCCATTCACCACTCCCAGCAAATACTCATAATTTCTCAAAAATTGAAATCCCAAAGCAGAGTGAGAGTTGAATTTTATTAGAATATGGAATACAATAGCATGAATAGTGACCAAGACCATTAGTAAGAAAGAAAAATCTCATGTTGATAACTTATAAGTGGCTATTGCTGGCTGAGATATCTTTGGCATGTACATTGGTGGCCCTGAACATATATACATTTTCTCAAATAGCTGAAGCAAGAGTGGAAAAGAAAAACACAGTTAAATGAACAAAAATGTCAGCCCCAACTTGGCAGGTCAGAAAACTACCTCATAAGTATATGAGGTTGCTCCAAGGGGATAGGTTCTTAATATGCGGGGGGGACAACTTATTTTTAAAATCTGTTAAGTTTTGGCTGGGCATGGTGGCTCATGCCTGTAATCCCAGCAGTTTAGGAGGCGGAGGTGGGCGGACCACGAGGTCAGGTGATCGAGACCATCCTGGCTAACAAGGGGAAACGCTGTCTCTACTAAAAAATACAAAAAATTAGCCAGGCATGGTGGCAGGCACCTGCAGTCCCAGCTACTTGGGAGGCTGAGGCAGGAGAATGGCGTGAACCCAGGAGACGGAGCTTGCAGTGAGCCAAGATTGCGCCACTGCACTCCAGCCTGGGTGACAGAGCAAGACTCCATCAAAAAAAAAAAAAAAAAAAAAAAAAAAAAAAAAAAAACGCACACATGGCCATATACAGAGTAGTATAATTGTATTTTAGGTTATTCAAAGACCTGCTTGAGTACCTTAATAAATCCCACTTGAGAATTCTCCAAGACCTGAGGATTCTCTAAAATACTTTGGAGCAGTTGAAAGCAGCTAGAACTGCAGAACAAGTTGGAAGGGAATGAGAAATGGTCATCAGGGCTCAGGCAGGGCAAAGCTCTTAAGAGGAGCAATGCTTAGAATGAGTTGAAGGTACAGAGATCTTTTCAGCTTTGTGATTAGGGAAAATTACTTCACCCTTTTGAGCACTTCACCTCTGTCTTCTCATCTGTAAAAATCTAAAAATGTATAGCCATTTACAAAGAGTTGTTGTGAAGATGAAATGAGAGAATATGTTTAAAATGCCTGCCACAGAGTAGGTGCTCAATGAATGAAAATTGCTTCCTAGTAGTGTATTACCTTAGAAACCATGAAAACTCTAAAAGAATAATCATTTTGCATTGCGAGAGTTAAAAACTGGAAACAATCTGCATGTTCATGACCAGGCAATGGTTAAATAAATTATGATACATGCATACAAAGAAATAGTATGTGGCAGTTTAAAAAGTTAAAGCTGTATTTACTGATGTTGATGGATTAGTGCAGATGTTCAAGATACACTATTAAGTGAAAAAAGCAAATTGAAAATAATGTAGCTAGGCCAGGCGCGGTGGCTCATGCCTGTAATCTCAGCACTTTGGGAGGCTGAGGCAGGCAGATCACCTGATGTCAAGAGTTAGAGACCAGCCTGGCCATGAAACCCCATCTCTACTAAAGAAAAATACAAAAATTAGCTGGGCATGGTGGCATGCACCTATAATCCCAGATACTCAGGAGGCTGAGGCAGAAAAATCACTTGAACCTGGGAGGCAGAGATTGCAGTGAGCTGAGATAGATTGTGCCACTACACTCCAGCCTGGGGGAAAGAATGAGACTTCATCTCAAAAAAAGAATGTACATAATATTCTATCCTTTGAATTACTCATAATTGATATGAGAATTTCCCACTTGTGGAAATTTAGTTTGGTTTCTGCTTTCCCTCCGGTTTAATTAACAACTCTCTACAAACAAGCTTCTGATTTTACCCCCACTTAGGACAGATTTCTAAAATGGAACCTGCTTAGTCAAAATATATGTATTTTGTAAAGCTTTAGATAGATATTGTCAAATTGCTTTGCAGTTAGACCATGTCAATTTACAATTATATCTGAGCTGTTTAAAATTTCCCATTTCCCATGCCCTATTTATTTTGCATACTTTTTTAACTGTTAATTTCACAGTCCAGATCTGTTTGGAGTCATTTTATTTGCTCCAGTCATTTTTTATTACTATTGGAAATGAAAATTTATTTTATATGCATGCTACTATATAATATTCTTATTTATATATTTATTTTAGAGACAGTGTCTTGCTCTGTGTGGAGTCCAGTGGCACAATCATAAACTCACTGTAGCCTAGAAGTCCTGGGCTCATATGATCCCACTTCCACCCCGGCACATTTCCCCTCTCTAGCCTCTGGCGTAGCTGGGACCACAAGCACTAATCACCATGCCTAAGATTTTCTTTTTTTTTTTTTATAGTGACAGTATGTTGCCTGGGCTGGTCTCCAACTCCTGGCCTCAAGCGATCCTCCTGCCTTGGCCACCCAAATTAATGGGATTATAGGCTTGAGCCACCATGCCCAATCTCCTTTTCTCTACAATTGTTATTGCTGTCTACCTACTTTCCTGTAGGTTTTTAATGGGAATTTTAAAATAAATTTTTAAAGTATTCTATGTGTAGAGGGTAGAAAACTTTTGGCTATCATATTTTTAGTGATATACCAAAATTTATATTCTTTTAAAGTTTACAGTTGTTTTGTCATGCAAAATTTTTAAATTTTTCTATGATCCTAACTACTGATTTCTCTTTCTGATAGCTTTCATTGCTTCTATATTTAAAAAGATTCCTATACTAGAATCAGGAAAATAGTTACATATATTTTCTTCTAAATTTGTTTATCGTTCTTTTCATACATTTAAATCTGTAATTCTTCTGGGATTTGGTAGAATAAGGTTAGAATCTTCTTGTTTTGTTTCATCAGTTATTATTTTTCAGTAACTTTTTACTGTTGGACTTATTTCAGTATCTTGTTTTACCCATATTTTATACTTGGCTTGGAGTCCCATCTCTCCTGGGACCCAGTAATGGGTTTCAGGCAGTAATCTTTTCACAGCTCCTTACAGTGCCATGAATTTGAAGGAAGAGCTTTCTAAGTGCTGAATTTTCTCAGCCAGTTACATCGTTTGCTGTTGCTGTTGTGTATGTGTAACGGTTTTTAGCACTCTTTTTATACATTATTAAGAAACAATTTTTAAAAGAAGATAGAATCATCATTCTCACACAGATATAGAGTGAATATATGGCAAAGATTTTTAACTCATTAATTAATGAGGGACCAGTAAGGTATTACAACTGATTCCAGAGAATTCAAAGAGCAGAGACATAAAAAAGGAATAAACAGATTTTAAAATAAATTTGCAAATAAATAAAAAGCATCAATGCAAAAATGCATTGTATTCCACTGAACACAACTATTTTGCATTACTACAGACAAGAATTATTTGAATTATTATCAAATTTCTAAAAGTTGCAGAATTGTAATATAGATCATAAGTGAGAAAACCTAAATGAGTGAGTAATCAAGATACCCACTGTTTGATTTTTTGCCCATTTCAAAGTTTTTCACAAGTTTCCCTGGCAGTCTGTCTCCTTTCCTCTTTTTATCATAATAATTTCGGGAAGGTTATTCTTGATCATAAAATGCAGCTAGTCTTATTAGGTTTGCCTTACTGTTTATATAGGTATCTCAAAAGTGTTATTTTACCATATAGGTCACCTTAAGTTTGCATTGTAAATTCTAAGGCTATACAATTTTGAACAAATACTAAATTAAATTCTGTCTGGAAGTATTCATAAGGAATCTCAAATTGGACTTTTAAGGCCCTCTATTATTTGTCGTCCTGCTGCTAGAAAACTAAATCCAAGAAACTCTGTCCGTAAGATTTCACCTGTAAAACCTGTAACTTTGGGTAAATTATTCTCTTCTAAAAGTCCCCAAATACCTTAAGATAACTTATACATAGTATACAATATTCTTGACTATTAAAGCCAAGGAGTAGACCAGATTGTACAGAAGGTCTTTGTAAATACTACCTCCATAAGTCAAGTCGAACTTAATTCCTTAAAAGTAGCTGTTTCTGTGTGATTCAATGAACATTGTTTTCAAACATGACATTACGGGGAAGGCTTTGGTTTTATAATTTGTACAATTACATCCTGGTAAAAAGGATGACAACTTCTTACTGAACTGATGCAGATCACTAAATGGCCATGGAAAGTAAAAAGACTCAATAAGAATTTCTGAGTCCTAGAGAAATAAATAAGATCACATGTCATTTTCAAATGTTTCCTTCCATTTTATAAAGTAGATTCTACTAAATTTCTATGGGTTACAGATTTCTTAAGAAGAAGGAGAAAGGGTGTTCTTATTTATCTGAAAAATGAAACGTTAAGACAATATCAACAATATCCCAAATGAATAACCATAAGAAAATTATCTCATTACTGCATTCAGTCTTATTACAATTTTAATTCCTACTCTGCTGAATCTTGTGCATCATATGCAGCCCTCTGCTTTGGCCTACAGTGGGTCCTGGAAATCCTGACTCAGTCCACTCATGGTGCAATCTGAAAGCTGTCTAACCAATGTCAGCTCAGCTTTGAGGTGTCAATACTTAAAGTACCTGGTAGTTATCTTCCATGAGGTTCTAAGACTGTTCTTTGTTGAAGACATAAATTCTGGATTATAACCTGGAAGAGAGACTTCAGAGAAGCAGCAGAGTAAAACAGTACTATCAATAAACTACAGGGACCTAAAATCACTGTTGTGGACTTATTACTAATAATTTTCAAATGTGAGCAGTCTGGTGAGAGTTTATAGTAAGAATAATGCAACAGACAAGGAAATTTAGTTCTTTTTGTGGTATGCAAAACAATGATAATAAAGCCACTGCAAAAGACAATTAGACAAACATCTCTAAGGATAGTGATTAAATCTATTTTCAAAGAAGTTTGTGAATGATATATCTGATTCAAAAAATGGATGAAAATAATTTTACAGAGGAAGAAGCCTTGAGATAGATATAAGACATAGATAACACTAAAACATAATTGCTAATACAAGAAACCAAGTAAAGAAATTTAGTAAGTGTACATAAGGCCTAAACATTTGTATTTTTTAAACAGTAGCTGAAATTATGACTGATAACATACTGTTGTTGTCTAATGTCATTAGGCAAAACACTGCTACAACTCTGATAAATATAGAAAAATCTGATGGAAATATTTCCAAGAATTACAATCATTATTTTCCTTTAAGTTAAAAACAAGTAAAGCAGAAAGGGCAATGAAAAAAAAATTTAGGAACTTCTCATAAAGCATATAAAATTTCTGAAATATTTTTGTTAATAACATTATGCCTATTCAATTTAAATAAGTAAGGCTGAGCATCTCTTCTGATTTGAAAATTCTTCCCAAGGAATTCCACAAATAAAACTAATTATTTTTAGCACCTCTTTGCAAAGGTAAAGGAATAACTCTTTGTGATATTTTTGAAGGGCCATCTGGGAAATCTCAGAGATAGTTTTAAGTGTAAAAGATATCCTGACTGTTTTATTAATTTTTCTATACTTAAGATCCAATTATGAATGGCAAAAATCAGAAAAAAATAATAGAGGACATTTGGACATTTGATTAAAATAAGATCAGGGTACCAGAGAAATAATAATGAGTTAACAATAAGTACATACTTAAAACAATAAAATATTAAAAAATAAACATATACATTAACATGGTTGTAAAGAACCTTAGCTCTTTATATGTGAGGAAACTGTTCTTTGAATTCTTTTCCTTAAATAATCAGGGATGTAACAAATTCAATATAAAGCACAGAAAATTATTTTTATAAGACAAAATTTTTGTTATCTATCTAGGCAGATTACATAGGAAGTTAAAAAAAAAAAAGCCTTTCATTTAGTAGGCAAATAGTAAGCTAAGAAAACAAGCCCATCAAGATTGGGCAAATTTTACTAAAATTGTAGCACATCTCATAGCTTCTTTTCAGACTCAGGTATTATGAATTAAGGCAGGTAAAATATATTTCCAAAATTTACTCTTCATTTTGCTTTTTCATGTCACTGCAATTTTCAGGGGATCCATGAGCACAAAACCATTTTTATATTAATCCTCAAATGTTATTTCTGTTAAAACGTCAATATGTTTGTCATTGCTATGATCAAATGAAGCAGTAACTATTTTTAAAGTTCTCAATTTCAACTTTCAATATGGAAAATATTAACAGTTATCAACTACATAAGTGAAAGATTTTAGGGTCCTTAGTAAGTCTCAAGATTGTACAGAGGTTCTGAGACTGGGAGAATCAAGGGAGGGAAGCCTGAAAACCACTACTCTATATATCCCCACTATTATATACTACTACAAAACCACTACAATAGGACAAAATTATTTTCTCTTTGAAACACAAAAGGACATAGACAGTGGTGTCAGTCTGTCCCTATTCTCACAGTGTAGTCTTAACTATTCATATTAAAAGGACTTTTACCAAAGCAACTTCTATTTCAAGAAGAAAACTAGGGGCTGATAATTAAGAATTGCCAATCTTCCACAAACATTTTAAAAGATGAGCAAAGTTTATGTTGCAACTTCCAATAGCCACACACATACCTTTTTAAAGAGACAAAATTAATACATTCATTAACAGGACTCAAAACAAACACATTCTATAGGATATAAGCAAAAGTATATAAACTGAAAATTACGCCTAATAATTAGGCATCAAATTTGTTGGTCTCCTATCTTAGTTAGAAATCATCTATATATCAAGCGAGTATTCATTGTATAATTCAACTTAATATCAGTCTAAGGTTATGTGTTGCCTAAGGATCTTGGGACCTATATTCAAGCTGACTTGTTAAAAGAAAAAAAAAACACAATTACTGTTGAAATAAAGTTGTCTGAATAATGATTCAATTTAGTTGAATATAAATTTATAGTTTTCATTATCTAAAATATTGTGTAGGCATATTGTTAGTTAGTAGACCTAAGTAAGTTCAAGAAAAACAAACCCAAGTAGAATAAAATGTTGTTTATATTAAACCTAACACTGATAAATCATAGAATATAGCTGCTTATTTTGAACCAAAATTATTACATTAGTCTTGTTTACCAAAGATTTACTGTGATTATGTGAACTTAAATTTTAAAAACATTTCTGAGTTTCTGTAAAAATAAGTTATTAAGTATAGCACAATTTAAAATACTATAGCTTTTAATTTCCTAATTTTTGGAATTTTATGATTATTTGATTTATATAAGAATGTATTTATATAAGAACTCTATAGGCCAATCAGAACAGAGATTCTTTAATTTAGGAGACATTTTAACCTAATTCATTACCCTCCAGAGAGAGGAAAATATTATGCACTCATCCAAAAAGAGATAAAGGTCTTTCTAAATTATAAGCATCTAGACACACAGACACAAGACTGCTTATAACTTCAGATCTAAGTATTAACCACATATCAAAAGTAAACACAGAAAAATCACCAGTTCATATATCAAAGCATTGTACTTTTTCCTGATGGGCGCAAGAGTCTTAATTTGAGCTCAAAATAGACAAATAACAACCAATAAAAATAAAATACTTTAAAAAAGATTATTGTCTGTCACACAAGGGGAATAAATCTCTCTAATCCATTAATCCATTTACAGAAATAACAATGGCTAGCCCACAATGTTCTGAATCACTGCTGTCACCAGTAGGAAATAATATATCAATTGTAAGAGTTCCAAAGACAAAAACAAAACACAAAAATAGCCAAAAAGGAAAATACAGAAAGAAACGGAAGATCTGCAAAGTTAAATTTCTATTGCTACTGGGGATTTACCTTTGGGAGTCTGGGCTTAAGCCCCCAGGGGTACAACTTTCTCCACCATGTAGGTTATTCATCTATAAGAGGAATCCACTGACTATTGGCTGAAGAACCTCCAAAATATTTACAAGATAATTTTTAAAGGGGTGTAAATAACTCTCATGCAGCTATAACATAAATTTTCAAAAGATTTCATTTAATTCATTAATTATAGAAGAAACCAGTAAGATGTTATAACCAGTTCAAAGGAGAATTCGAAGAGCAGAACATATCTGTATAGGGAATAAGGAAAATTGAAATAAAAATAGCTGCAAAATAGGTCTCTATACAGGGCAATGATTAATTGAATTCCACTGGGCACAATTATTTTGCATCTTTGTGGGCAAGATATTTTCCATTACTATCAGTTTTATACAACTTAAAGAGCATGGCACATGTATACATATGTAACTAACCTGCACATTGGGCACATGTACCCTAAAACTTAAAGTATAATAATAATAAAATAAAATTTAAAAAAAGAGTTGTAAAATAACACAAAAACAATAAAAAGCAAAACTAACTTAGATGGGGGCACAGTCAGGACACCCACTTTTTTGTTTAGCACAAGAAATTAAGTACCATATGGAAAAGGCAATACCAAAACTTCTCTTTATCCTCAATTCTAAATTTCTAATTATCTCTTCTTAGAAGAGAGAGCAAATAATATCATTCTTTTCTACATCAAATATACAAAAGGCCTAGTAACTAAAATTTTCTAATTGTACATACTGTGCAACTCTTTTAGAATCATTTTTTTTCTCCTCTGAGCATCAGCTTTACCTAAACTTCTTTCTTCTCCCTTATCAATACCACATTAGCAAATACTTATTTCCATAGAGGCTTTCTAGAAGCCTATCAGTATGGTAAACTATGCTAATTTTTTTTAAAAAAGATGAAATCCTTTTAAAAGGTTATAATTTGAAGGAAGAAAAAAAAAGCAGATCAAGTAGTTTTTAAAGTGATTAGAAAGATGCTTTATGTAAAACCCACCATGGACAGACACTTCCACTGATCTAAATCAATCCCAGACTTGAGACATTTTATTTGACAAACTTGAAATCAAGATAGGATTCTTTTTGAATTATTACCCTGAAGTCACATGTGTTTGTAAAGCCTTTCGCTAGGAATTCTGAAGTTAGTGACTCATGGGGTTCAGCAGAGTCTAGACAAGCATGATCCTGTGTCACTGCTTTGATCATGGGCATTTTCAATATCACAACCCAATCATAATTCCAAAGCTCCTAATTGGAATTATGTTCACTCCTGAGAAAAAGACTAGGGGGAAAACATGTATATATCTCCGTGGAAACAAACTTGCTAGTTTTTTTTTCTGCAATATAAAGCAAAAAAATAAAAAAAAAATTTTAAAAAAGGCCAAGTATTTTTATAGACTTGACTAACAATGTAATTTATGTATTTTAGGCGCAGCCAGGTGACAACTCTACTAGAATCACTATCCTGACAGAACTCTACGTACAAGCTGTCATTTTTGACCACATTTCCAGAAGGAAGACTTAAGTACCAACATGTTAATTTCCTAATAATTTGCTAAATTTAAATAAATTCCGTAGACAGAGCAAATTAGAATAATAAATGAGCCCTGTAGCTGGAAGGCAAATTAGAACAATAAAGTTAATAAAGAAGTTAGAAAGAAAACTGTAATATTGACTGTCTTTTTATTATACAGATAGCCTCTAAGCTGATTGCAACATTTCATGGGAGAGAATTTTGGTGCTACTTCAAAGATACAGAAATTGGTGACTATTATGTAGCTCAGAATTTAAAAAAAAAAAAAAAAAAGTTCCAGATCCCACTATTGCTAAATCGAATGGACCAAGCTTTTGCCATATGGCAGTGCTGGCTGCTAAAATCATTGAATATTGACTGTTAAGGGGTCCCAAATTGGCATACAAGGTTTTCGATAGTACTAAACAAGTAAGTAAAATCTGCAATATCCCATGAAATGATGTATAAAATGAATGAACGTGTTTAATATGCATATAAGCTTGGATAACATGAATCCTATAACAGCGAAGCTGAGGAAATGAAATCTAAAGGAAACTAGAAGATATTAGAAAAATCAAGACTTGATGATAGAAATAAGCACTTTTTCCTAATGTGCCCTGCAGGTGGCTTTTGTGCAGAAAAGATATTATTTGAAGGCCACTTTTATTAAAAATTAATATTTGGTTCTTCCTCTTCTTTTTCCCATTCAATTTAATTCCTTTATTTTTAGTGTTTCAAAATATTTTTTATTTTATATTTTAATTATTTTTGATGTATTTTTTAAAAATTATTATTATACTTTAAGTTCTAGGGTACATGTGCAAAACGTGCAGTTTTGTTTCATAGGTATAGGGGCCATGGTAGTTTGCTGCACCCATCAACCCATCATCTATATTAGGTATTTCTCCTAATGCTATCCCTCCTCTAGCCCCCCACCTCCCAACAGACCCTGATGTGTGATGTTCCCCTCCCTGTGTCAGTGTGTTCTCATTGTTCAGCTCCCACTTAATGAGTGAGAACATGCGGTATAGTTTGAAGTCAGGTATTGTGATGCCTCCAGCTTTGTTCTTTTTGCTTAGGATTGTCTTGGCTATGCGGGCTCTTTTTTGGTTCCATATGAAATTTAAAGTAGTTTTTTCCAATTCTGTGAAAAAAGTCTATAGGAGCTTGATGGGGATAGCATTGAATCTATAAATTGCTTTAGGCAGTATGGCCATTTTCATGATATTGATTCTTCCTATCCATGAACATGGAATGTTTTTCCATTTATTTGTGTCCTCTCTTATTTCCTTGAGCAGTGGTTTGTAGTTGTCTTTGAAGAGGTCCTTCACATCTCTTGTAAGTTGTATTCCTAGGTATTTTATTCTCTTCATAGCAATTGTGAATGGGAGTTCACTCATGATTTGGCTCTCTGTTATTGGTGTATAGCAATGCTTGTGATTTTTGCACATTGATTTTGTATCCCGAGACTTTGCTGAAGTTGTTTATCAGCTTAAGGAGATTTTGGGCTGAGACAATGGGATTTTCTAAATATACAATCATATCATCTGCAAACAGAAACAATTTGACTTCCTCTCTTTCTATTTGAATACCCTTTATTTCTTTCTCTTGCCTGATTGCCCTGGCCAGAACTTCCAATACTATGTTGAATAAGAGTGGTGAGAGAAGGCATCCTTGTCTTGTGCCAGTTTTCAAAGAGAATGCTTCCAGTTTTTGCCCATTCAGTATGATATTGGCGGTGGGTTTGTCATAAATAGCTCTTATTATTTTGAGATATGTTTAAACAACCTTGTACTGAGGGAATTAGGTGGGGACAAGCCGGTGGAAATCTGCTCAGGTGTGGGGTTGGTAGAGCCCAAAGCAGGAAGTCGCAGTTCAAATGCAAGGGTGTATTCACGGGGAAGTTGATGGCTTGGCGCGATATGCCAGATTCCAAGCAGGTTGAGTGGAGTGGTGTTACATTGGAATTGGGTATATCAGGGTGATCTCAGAATTTTCAGTTCATACAATATATAGAACAGATATGGAATATATATATGTGCATGTATAGTCCCTCACTCTGTTCACTGAAAGAGCCCAGGAGCAGCCACCCACCAATATCAGTGAGCATACCTAATGCCCAGATCTCAGATTCCTAACACCATTTTCCACCAAAAAAAGCAGGGATGGGGATCCTTGAGAAAACAACTAATTTGGGGGCTGAAGCAGGGAAAATACAAGAGTCTGGAATACCTTGTTGTGCCAGAAAGTAAAAAAGTTCTCAAAAAACAAATGGGATTTATCAAAAGGATCACAGAATTCAGTGTGAAGGGTACCCACTGGCCAAATATGGGACCATTAGGGCATCAAAACGATGATAATTACAGAGATAAAGTAGGAAACAATGAGTCCATACTGATCTACAGACATGAATAAATTGAAAGATAAGAAAGAGGATATTTACATAGTATCCACAAAATATTTATTAATTACAGAGAAAACAATGGAGATAGCTGGCAGACACCACTTTCAGCAAATGATCAAAGAAAATATCATCAGTAACGAAGCAAAATGAATATGTGCCCTAGCAAATAAGATTCATCTCTCAATCAATTTGTCAAATATGACATTTTAAATTGGAAGAGCAAGACTTATCTGATGCAACAGGGGAACATAGCATCCCCTTTGTAATAGTACTTCCAAAGTTGCATAACCTGAATCTAATCAAAAGAAAACTCAGGCAAACCCAAATCCAGGGATGTTATTCAAAATAACTGGCCTGTAATCTTTAAAAGTGTCAAGATCATGACAGTGAAGGTAAAAAGGAAGAACTGTCCCAGTCTGAAGAAGGATAGAGAGGAAGACATGACAACCAAATACAACACATGATTCTGAAGTAGATCCTTATTCTATAAAGGGAATTTGGGGGCAACTGGTGAAAATTTAATTTTTTGATGATTGTATTGTGGTTAGATTTATTTCCTGATTTTGATTATTATATTGTGGTTATGTAGTAGAATGTTCTTAAATATAGGAAATTACACTGAAGCATTTGAGAGTCCAAAGGGGATCATGTCAGTAGAGTATTTATAAATAATTCATGGGAAAAGGTCTTGGTAGTATACTTACAACTTTTCTGTTAGTCTGAGATGTTTCGTGATCAAATGAATGTTTGACTTATTAAATTTATAAATTAAAAACCCTAGTTTCATACACTTTATAATGTATAAATTTTATTATTCTATCTATAGATTTGACCAAATTTTAACAATCACTTCTATGAGTCCTTGTATAGTTTAACTAAATTCCTTTGAACATTTTAAATTTTAATTATAAACTTTATTGTATTTAATTTTCTAAGAATTTTAAATTTTTACCTAAAAATAAGCCTTCCCATGCATTTAAATGACTATTGTAAATCTAATAAAATAAATATAATGACCCTTATGTTTGCCTAAAATATTCCAGTATGGCTTATAAATGCATAAAATTTAACCTTAAAATCATATCTTAATCAATTATTCAGTTATCACACTTTAAATGGGAATAGCAAGGCTTATCTGTTAGATATTCTATATTCTAATATGCCAGCTTCTCTAAAACATAACTACTTATTTTTAAATAGATATTTAAAATTTTTCAAATATCAAACATATTTACAATTTATTCCTATATTTAATGCTAAGTTTTAAAGCACTAAAAAGTCAATTATATTATCACAAGTAATTTTTATATTAGCCTCTGAATTGAATTTACTGATAGTAAATACTAACTGGAGATTTAAGTTGGGTTATAAGATGTATTAGTTTGCAAGGTCTGCTCTAACAAACTCCCACAGACTGGGTGACTTAAACACAGAAATGTCTTTTCTCACAGTTCTGGAGTTTGGAAGTCTCAAATCAATTGTCAGTAGGTCTGGTTTCTTCTAAAGCCTGTCTTCTTGGCTCACTGATGGCATCCTTCTCTGGCTGATGCAACAGGGGAACGTAGCATCCAGATGTCCTCACATGCTCTTTCCTCTCTGAGCACATCCGCGGTATCTTTCTGTGTACCCAAATTTGCTCTTCTTATAAGGACACCAGCCAGATTGGATTAGGTTCTACCATGATAGCTTCATGTTAACTTAATTACCTCTTTAGAAGCCGTATCTCTAACAGATGAACATATAGTTTTCAACATATGAACTTTGGGCAGACAATTCAGACCATAGCACAGCATGTGGACTACAAACACCCAGGACACTTCCCCGTGATTAGACTCTCATGGCCCATGCTAAGCCAAGTCTAAACCTCTGACGATTCCAATATCATGCCTTTTAAATTAAGGTTGTCTTGTTGTCTAAGTGCCCTGGATTCAAATTTCTTATTATCTAATACTCTTGTCTGATTTGAGTTTTTATCACCCTCTGAGGTTAACTGAGAGTCAGTGAGTCTATGCATGGTGTCATTCCATTTCTAAATTGTTTTCATATTCTTTCTATTGGCCGGCCAACACTCCTATAAAAGATTTCAATGGCATCTGATTGTATGGAGCATATCTCTCAAGTCTTACCTTGTCCTGTTGTCACAGTTCTAACGTCACATTAATGCAACTATTGGAACTTGGAAATTCCTTTTGCGGAAACTTATTGAGGAGATTTCCACCCAGTAAAGAAGAGAGAGCAATTAGGGAACCGTTATGAATGAGTTCAGGTACACTAAGAAAGTAATTTTAACCTGAAGCTAATGGTTGAATGCAGAACCAAGGAAAGGGGACATGTGAAATGTACGTGATAATCTGCGAAAAGAACAGTAGGCCAAAGAGACAGGACCTAAGAATGAGCTAGCCAACAGAATGGAACAATGCAATAAAGAATAAAGCACATTAAGAACCAGACTGTTTGTTAAACTGAGTTGGTAATTGGCCACATTACCTTATCTCTCCATACTTTGGCTCCTAAAGGTCACTTCATATTCAAAACATCTATGATTCCTCCTTGCTGTTTTTTTTAAAATATATCTATAGACTCCCCCAGCTGAAGAGACTAGCCTAGTAAGTTAGGTGTGAAAAGAATATGTTTGTATTTCAGGAATAATCACAATCAAAGACTTGAACACGCAGAACTCCTTGTCTATATCATTAGTCCTGAGTTCTTCTCTATTCGTAATTTACTCTTTCTGGAAAACAGCCTCGTGTTTCTCTCAACCTTCTGTTGTCATGGAAAATATGTTCTGAACAATTCTAGAGTCTCATACTCTTTCCCTCTCCCTCTCCCTATCTCCCTGCCCCTATCCCTCCCTCTTCTCTCCTTCCCCCCACCCCAACCACTTTTTCCCAAGTCCAGAATCCCATAGAAGGAACATTCGACTCAGCTT
The DNA here is from genome assembly GCF_000001405.40 of Homo sapiens. Classification (NCBI taxonomy): domain Eukaryota; kingdom Metazoa; phylum Chordata; class Mammalia; order Primates; family Hominidae; genus Homo; species Homo sapiens. The sequence goes on from NC_000004.12 coordinate 80,968,934, forward strand.
TGCATTATTTGAGATTTTGTTTGTTTGCTTGCAAGCCACACACACACACAAAAATCTCACACATTGAAACAGAGATAAGGTACAGGAATCCAGAATTGAAAACTGAGACTTGAGAAAGAAAGAATACAGAGGAATTGAGGAAGCCTCTCTGTCAAGCACTGCCAGTTAGAAAGCTCAGCTCCAACTACTCCCCAGTCTGTGTATGTAAATCCCACATTTTGAATTTCCAGGAGAGGAAACCTGATTGGTCACACTAGTATCCAGTTTTCCGTCTTGGATAAATCAGCAATGGTCAGGGTTGATGGTTAGACATAATAACTAGAGGTTTATCCCTGTGTGTCAAGGGCAGTTTCCAGAGAGAGGGAAATTTTCATGAGTTGAAAAGACGTAGCGAGAAATATCTACTATAAAATCGCTTGAAACTTGTACTTTGAAACAAACTTTGCTAAAATTCAGTAAGTGTAATGTTGACTCAATTTAATGTTAAAATTTTTACTGGGAAGGATACTTCTTTCCTAAGTTATTTTGAGTTATTTTAGATATTTCACCAGGAAGGAGTGTCAATGTTTTATTCCAAATGCAATTTTGTTAATCAATGAAAACTATTTTTATAAATAAAATTAAGTTATATGGTATGCTTCATATATAAATTTTAAGATGTATTTCAGTTAAAATGCATCTTGAATGATTTATTCAATACATCTCTCAAATTGGTGTGCTTGTATATTATTTGGAAGTTTTGCAACTCTTCTTATGGGAACACTTTCTATGTGTATAGATTTTTCTTTCCCTCCTGGCCAGTAACACTTGATTTATAGACACTGAATATTGAATTTCATGTAATTTTTAAAATTTACAGACTTATTTTTTATATCAGTTTTAGGTTTACAAAATAATTGAGCACAAAGTACAGATAGTTAGTTTCCATATGCCTTTTCTCCATTACATATTCACACAGATTCCTCCAGTGTTAGCAACTTGCACAAGTGTGGTATATTTGTTATAACTGATGAACCAGTATTGAAAAATGTTAACTAAAGTCCATAGTCTACATTAGGGATCACTCTTTGGGTTGTTCAGTTCTATAGGTTTTATTGTTTTTTTCTTTTTTATCTTTTTTTCAGAGACAGGGTTTACTCCGTTGCCCAGGCTGGAGTGCAGTGGCACAATCATAGCTCACTGTAACCTTGAACTCCTGGGCTCAAGCGATCCTTCTGCCTTATTCTCCCAAGTAGCTAGGACTACAGGCATGTGCCAGCACACCTGGCCCATTTCTGTTGATTTTAACAAATACATGCTGTTTTGTATCCACCATTACACTATCATACAAAACAGTTTCACTGCCCTAAAAATCACTTTTGCTCCACCTACTCATTCTTCCCTCCTTACCCTCTTAAACCTGTAGGAACCTCTAATGTTTTTACTGCCTTTTTAGTTTTGCCTTTTCTAGAATGTCATACAGATGGAATCGTATATGGCATCTTTCACTTAGCAATATGCATTTAAGTTTCCTCTGTAACTTTTCATGGCGTGATAGCTCATTTCTTTTTTTAATCACTGAATCATATTCCCTTGTATGGATGTATGACAGTCTGTTTATTCATTCACTAATGGAAGGAAATCTTGGTTGTTCCCAGGTTTTGACAATTATCAATAAAACTGCTATAAACATTTCTGTCCAGAGTTTTTATGGACATAAGTTTTCAATTCATTTGGGTAAATATCTAGGAGCATGATTGCTGGATCATATGAGTTAGCTTTGTAAGAAACTGACAAATTGTCTCACAAAGTAACTATACTATTTTGCACTCCCACCATTAATGAATGAGAGTTCCTGTTGCCCCACATTCTGATCGGCACTTAGTATTGTCAGTGTTTTTGAATTTTAGCCATTCTCATAGTTGTGTAGTAGCATCTTATTGTTGTTTTAATTTGCAATTTCCTGAAGATATATGGTGTTGAGCATGTTTTCATATACTTATTTGCCATCTCTGTGTCTTCCTTGGTGAGGTATCTCTTCATGTCTTTGCCCACTTCTTAATTGTTTGTTGTTGTTAAGTTTTAAGAGTTTCTTTGCATGTTTTGGATATGAGTCCTTCATCAAATGTGTTTTACAAATGTTTTTTCCAGTCTGTAGCTTGTCTCTTCATATATAGTTTTTTAATGCTATGGTTAATGGATTTATTTAAAGATCAATATTAAATTGGTTTTTTCCATATTATAGAAAAGTATTTATGCAGAATTTGCATTATCTGTTTTTTTAAGCTTGACATAACCTTCAAAAGTAAAGCCATATGGATTCAAAGCTTTTCAGAAAAAAATTATTTTTATTTGATAGAAATTTATATTTTCTATTTCTTAAGCCAATTTTGAACATTAATTTTTCTCAAAAATAACCTACTTATTTGAAATTTTATAATGTATTTTTATAGAATTGTATAAAATATATTTTATAATATATTCCCCCTGTACTTTTCATGGTATCAAATTTCTAATCCCTATTTTAAAAATATGTATTTTATCTCTAAGAAATACCATTCTGGACATAGGCCTTGGGAAAGATTTCATGATGAAGGTGCCAAAAGCCATTGCAATAAAAACAAAAATTGCAAATAAGATTATCAACAGAGTAAACAGATAACCGACAGAATGGAAGAAAATATTTGCAACCTGTGCATGCAACAAAGTTCTAATATCCAGACTCTATAATGAATTTAAATTAATAAGTAAAAACCCCATTAAAAAGTAGGTAAAGAACATGAACAGAAACTTTTCAAAAGAAAACATACATGCAGCCAACAATCATATGAAAAAAAATGCTCAACATCCCTAACCATTAGAGAAATGCAAATCAAAACCATAGTGAGATACCATCTCACACCAGTGAGAATGGCTATTACTATAAAGTCAAAAAATAACAGATGCTGGTGAGGTTGCAGAGAAAAGAGGACACTTACACACTGCTGGTGGGAATGTGAATTAGTTCAGCCATTGTCAAAATCAGTGTAGTAATTTCTCAAAGAACTTAAAATAGAAGTACCATTCAACCAAGGAATCTCATTTTTGGGTATATACCTGTCTTTCTACTTTGAAGACACATGCATGTGTATGTTTATTTCAGCACTATTCACAATAGCAAAGACATGGAATCAACCTTAATTCCCCTTCAACCATAGATAAGATAAAGAAAATGTGGTACATATACACCATGGAATACTATGCAGCCATTAAAAAAATGAGATCATGTCCCTTGCAGGAACATGGATGGAACTGGAGGCCATTACTCTGAGCAAATTAATGCAGGAACAGAAAACCAAATACTTTATGTTCTCACTTATAAGTAGGAGCTAAACATTGAGTACACATGGACGCATGTGTACTTGAGGATAGAAGGTAGAAAGAGGGAGGGAATAAAAAAACTACTTATTGAGTACTCTGCTTATAACCTAAGTGACAAAATAATCTGTACGCCAAACCCCTGTGACACGCAATTTACCTATATAACAAACCTGCACATATACCCTGAACCTAAAATAAAATCTTAATAAATAAATAAAATAAAATTTGTATTGTATCCTTTGTTATAATTTGTTTATATAAGATTTGATTTTAAAGAACTTACCACTTTATTTTAATTGATTCTGATTCTGTTTATCTAGTCTTTTCATTACTTCCTTTATGCCTTTTTTTAGATATATTTTTGTTGTTTTTCCCAACTTCTTAAGTTGTTATTAGTGATTTATTTTTATCTCTCTTTTGAAAAATAATAAGACCATTTAACACAAAATATTTCTTTCTGAGTACAGCTTTGGCCAAAATCCACAAATTTTGATAATTAATGTTCTCATTTTTCTCATTTTATAAATACTCCATACTTGCAGATTTTTATCCAAGATTTTTGTTGAATTTCTTTTAATTTCAAAGTAATTCCCATTGCTTTTATCTAAGCTTGTGAACATGATTTCTATTTTATTGTATTGTGGTAAAAGAATCTAGCCTTTACACTTTTTAAGATTTTATTGATATTTACTTTGTACCTTAATTTAAGATTAGTTTTGGTTTTCAAATTAATCTTCCACAGATGGTTGAAAAAATGTGCATATTTTCTGGTTTATTATGTACCTAAACTTCATTAACATATCATCTAAATAACTATGTCTCTTATGTATATATGTGTATATATGTACATATGTATGTATGTATTTATTTTGGCTCATCAAAATTTACTAGAGACATGGCCAAGTTTTCTATCAAAAAAAGTATTTATTACTCTTTTCAAATCCAACAATCTTTGCTTAATTGATTTTGAAGCCCTTTCTTTTGCTATTCTTCATGGGCATTGTCAGCGTGAGTTGTACCATTACTTTTTTAAAAAAACCTTAAATTTTCCATTTTCACTTGAATCCTGTTTTTTTCTGAAACTTTAAATACCACAACTGCTTTATTTCTGTGTTTATTCATCTGATAAATGAGGCCCATCTTATTCTTATAATCTGGAGGGGTTGTTTTTATTTTTAATACATTTCTTCTTTCAATAATACTTATTGAATTTGAAATCAGTTTTGTAGTGATATTTATGGTAGTTTTGCTTGATTCCCTATTCTTAAATTCTAATTTTATGAAGTAATTTCTTCTCTTTTTAATTCCAAAATAACATTTACATTTTCTTGGCAAATAATTCAAATAGAATTGCAAAATATAAAAATGAAAGTAAAGTCTTCTCCCTCACAGTCCAGGAGTAGAGTGAGGCACATGAGGTGCTTAGGGCACAAAATTTAAGGAGACAATCTCAGAGCCCTACCTCAAATTTGTACCTTGGTGCCCTGCTCACCTCACCCTAGATGTGGCCCTGATTCCTCATGCACGTTCCACTCCAGGTAAGACACCACTCCTAACAGTTTCTTGTCTCTCTTTCCAAAAAACTGTGAGTGCACTTGTATGTGTGAGAGTAGTAATTTTATGTTCCTGTTTTAAATACCTGAGATCATTGCTAACTGCTGTTTCTCATTGCTGCACACTTAGAATGAGGATGATGCGCTCACCTTAGCAAATATTTATTGAGTCTTGACTCAGTGAACATGAACATATTTCACTCTTCCTAAGAACTGCATGCCATTTCAATGTATGAAACTACCATAACGTTTTTGTTTTGTTTTGTTTTTTTGAGACGGAGTCTCGCTCTGTCGCCCAGGCTGGAGTGCAGTGGCATGATCTCGGCTCACTGCAATCTCCACCACCCCGGTTCACGCCATTCTCCTGCCTCAGCCTCCCGAGTAGCTGGGACTACAGGCGCCCGCCACCATGCCCGGCTAATTTTTTTGTATTTTTAGTAGAGACAGGGTTTCACCGTGTTAGCCAGAATGGTCATGATCTCCTGACCTCGTGATCAGCCCGCCTCAGCCTCCCAAAGTTCTGGGATTACAGGCGTGAGCCATCGCGCCCAGCCAGAAACTATCATAACGTTTTTAAGCAGTCGGGTATTGATGATGTTTAAGCATTTGTTGTTACAAGCTATTTTTGTTAACATTTTTTTTCAAGTAGTTTTCGGCAATGAACTGAGTATATGTGTGAGAGAAATTAGTAAAGAGGAAACTACTGGGTCAAAAGGCAAGTGTGTTTAAATGTTGACAAATATCAAATTGCCATCCCAAAAGTTTCATCAATTCATAATTCTACAGTGTATATACATATATATATATATGTCTGTGTACATGTATATATGTGTGTGTATATATATGTGTGTGTGTGTGTGTGTATATATACTTCTTTTCTTTTCTTTTCTTTTTTCGAGGGAGTCTCGCTCTGTCACCCAGGCTGGAGTGCAGTGGTGCGATCTCGGCTCACTGCAACCTCCGCCTCCTGGGTTCAAGTAATTCCTCTTCCTCAGCCTCCCTAGTAGCTGGGATTACAGGCACCTGCCACTATGCCTGGCTAATTTTTGTATTTTAGTAGAGACAGTACATTTAGGTGTACCTTTCCCCTCATTGATAATGGGTCCCCGTGATCTTTTCATTGTTTGCTTCTCTAGTAGATAAGCATTTGTATTCCATTGTAGTTTTCGGTTGTATTTCTTTAATTGTGAGTTTGCGCATATTTTCACGTTTATTGAACATCTTTATACTTTTTTGCATTTTTATCTATTTCTTATTTTGTGTTCTTCATTTTTTAATTGATTTGTAAAAGTTTGAGACACATGAAAATATTTTTTTCTGAAACATAAAATCCAAATATTTTTCTTGGTTGATTTATTGGTTTTTAATGTTCTATGGTAACTTCTATTGTGCAAAAGAATTTATTTGTAAGTAGTTAAGTTCAATTATAGTTTTATTTATAGCTTTTGTATTTCATGGCAGAAAGACTTCCCCACTCAAAAATGATAACTTTTAAAATTGTTTTCTAATAATTTTGTTGTCATATTTAGATGTACATTTTTGTTCACTTGTGATTTATTTTTGATGAAAGGAAAGATGCAGAAATTTAATATTTTTCTCAAATAACTATTAATTCATTCCAATATCATTTTTCAAAAGAATCCATTTTTACTCCATTATTTGAAATCCCATATTTGTCTTAGTAAATCCTCTCCCTCTTTTTTTCAGTTTATTTCTAGTGTCCCTAGATCGTGTCTTGCTGGGTCATCACCAAATGTCTTAATTTCTTTTATCTTTCAATATATTTTAATATCTTTTAGAGCAAGTTCATGTTCGTTAATTTTTTCATAGTTCACACAATAATTTTTGTATTATCTTTAATATTATTTCTTAAATTCCAAAAGAGTATATAAGGATAAAATAGACAACCAAGGTAAGCATTTAGAATAATACCTTCCACATAGTAAATATTCAAAGAATTTTAGCTTCTGAAATAAAGCAGCTTCCAAATGAAGTAAAATGTATCTAGATATCATGTATTGCACCTGTTACCAGAGAATATAGTGAAATTTCTATTGTCCCAACTCATCTGCTCTCAGATGCTGCTTAAATTCTCTACTCATATCTATTTCACAACTACAGCAAAATGCATGCAACTGTCCTTAGAAATCATTTATATAGTGCAGCTCTCTTGGGCTGAGGTAGGAACTCTCTTCTATGCTCATCATACCAAATGCCAATGGATATAATGAAAATTTTTATTTCTACCATGCACTTTATCAAGATCACTCTGACCAAGGGTTTAGTACCCCCCAGCACGTGCATAGCACTTCAAGGACCCCTTCCTCTTCCTGTCCAGTTAATTTAAGAGGAATGGTAGAATAGTGGTACCCATGTTAGAGAGCAGTACATTTTAAATTGTATTCTTCAGAGCTCTGAGGTCATGTTTAAGAGCCTTAAGGGCCTTCTCAAAGGGTGATGGGATGCAGAGCTATGAGCTTCAAGACTCCTGAGCAATTTCAGCCGGAACAGCTCTCCTTTATGTTTCAAGAAATGCTTCGTTTGGACAAATGATAACATTATTCTAAAAATAAAAGTGAGGGGAAGAGAGGACAAGGAAGTAGAGAAATTCCTGTTCAGCTCTCTTGTTAGTGTAAATCAGCATTTCCCAAATGAGCACTATTGACATTTTAGGCTGGTAATTCTTTGTTGTAAGCTGGGGGAGGGAGGATGTCTTGTACATTGCAGGATGTTCAGCAACATCCCTGGCCTCTAGCTAGTAGCAATGACATCACAACTGTGACAGTGTGACAGCCAAAAATGTCTGCAAACTATTTTGGGGTATCCACTATTATACCCATTGCCAAAAGGGTATCTTAGTGGATGCATGAAGCACCTCATTTCTTTCTTCAGTTCGGCAAGCTTGCTCTTGATAACAAAACAAATTATGATTCTCAATCCACTTAATTAGTCCTTAATTAGTAGAAGTTTCTTCCCAAGTTTGATCTAGTTCTTTAGTGTTTGTAGGGTTAAGAAAAGCTGCATCAAGGCACCCTAGTGTGATAGCATTTATTAACAGCCTCCTTAAAGATTTTAAGTTATAAGTTACATAAATAGTAATAAGGGATTTAGTTATTAATTAATGATAACGAGCAAATGAACATAAAATTATTTTTTCTCTTTTTTTATTATACTTTAAGTTCTAGGGTACATGTGCACAACGTGCAGGTTTGTTACATATGTATACATGTGCCATGTTGGTGTGCTGCACCCATTAAGTCGTCATTTACATTAGGTATATCTCCTAATGCTATCCCTCCCCCCTCCCCCAACCCCACAACAGGCCCAGGTGTGTGATGTTCCCCTTCCTGTGTCCAAGTGTTCTCATTGAAATGAACATAAAATTATTGAGCAATTTCTCATTGATGGATTTCAGCCTCCAGCAGCCTATCAAAACTTGCATAAATAGACACCTGGTAACTGATGTTACTCTTGAATTAGCCTTCGCTTTACTTTCACTTATTCCTACATGGTCAAACTTCTGTTCACTGACAATATGATCTTCTACTTACAAAACTCTCAAGATTCCTCCAAAAACCTCTTAAATTTGATAGTGAAGTTTCAGGATACAAAATCAACATACAAAAATCAGTAGCATTTCTATACACCAATAGTGATCAAGTGGGGAAGCAAATCAAGAAAGCCATTGCAATCCCATTTGCAATAGCTGCCAGAGAAAAATACCTAGGAATATATTTAGCTGAGAAGGTGATTTCTCTAGCATTTCATTTGCTCTATTCTCTCTCTTTTTTTTTTTTTTTTTTTTTTTTTTTTGAGTGTCACCCAGGCTGGAGTGCAGTGGCACCATCTTGGCTCCCTGCAACCTCTGCCTCCCCGGTTTAAGCGATTCCTCTGCCTCAGCCTCCCAAGTAGCTGGGACTACTGGCACACACCACTACACCCAGCTAATTTTTGTGTTTTTAGTAGAGACAGTGTTCCACCATATTGGCCAGGCTGGTCTTGAACTCCTGACCTCGTGATCCATCCACCTCGGCCTCCCAAAGCGCTGGGATTACAGGCATGAGCCACTGCTCCCAGCCTGCTCTATTCTTACACTTTGGAAAATAGATCAATGCATACTACCAGCTTTTACATTTTTCTTTGGCTCTCCCAGTTTTTATCACTGTTGATTCTTATTTTAATAGTGTTTGTTTTTAAAGAACACAAGAGTCCATTTTTAAGGAAGAAAATTTTGTTTAATTTAAAATGGCTCACAACCAAAAAGAGATCAATATTAGGAATAGAGGCAGCCTCTCAACTCTGGCAAGGAAAAGACAAAAAAACAGATTTTCTTCTACAGCCTGCAGAAAGGAACATAGCCCTGCTGACACCTTGATTTTAGTCCAGTGAGACCTGCATCAGACTTCTGATCTACAGAACTATAAGCTGATTAACTTGTGTTGTTTTAAGTTTGTGGTAATTTGTTACAGTAACAATAGAAAATTAACACTCATGTGCTGCTAGGTTAATCAATTTAAGAACATATCTGATCAACCCTACTCCAACTCAAAATTCTTCACAGCAACATTTTGCCTACCAAATATAGTTCAAATGACTCAAGTTTACATACAAAAGATTTTATAATTTTATTGCAGACATCTTCCACTATTTTCCTTCACCACTACACACCTAAGAAATGTCTATAAGTCATTCCCCAAACTGGTCCTTAACTTTTTCACCACTGTGTCTTTTCGTGCCTTTTGTCTGAAATGTGCTTCTCTTCATCTTCATTTGCTGGAATTCTAGTTGTCCTTCAAGTTCAAAATTCATTATCACCTCCTCCACGTGGTCCTCTCTAATTTCTGTAGTTGGATATCAGTCACTTTTCTCTTAGGTGCTTTCTTGGCCATTGTATGTATCTCTTAATTTGGTTTTATGTCCTTCTACCTTCTTTGCAGAAATGTTGCTTTATCTTTATTAAATTCAAAAGTTTTACAAGAACAAGAATCTTGACTTTCATCTTTGAATTCCTAAAGCACTGACTTCAGGTCATGGCACTGAGTAAATACTCAAGAAATTTTTAAATTTTATTTATGATATTTCCTGTTGACCAGTTTAAAGAAGACCTGGTATCTCTGATCTGGTTTAAATAAAACACTTTTGATTTTTAGTTATTAGTTTTATTGAATTACCTTAGTGGTACTGAATATTATATTATGGTCTTAGAAGGTAGTCATAATAAACTCATCTGATAAAACAATATCATCTGGGTCACTCTATAGCATACAATGCAATAAACACTATAGGTAGTCAACTAGACCATGAATATTCTTGTAGTCTGAACATTTCCCTATGTTGATACGGTGGTTTAATGCTATGCCAGTGTTTCTTTCTTTATTCTCTGATTTGGTTATTTTTCATATTTTGAAAATGACAATTCTGTTTTCTCTCAACAATATCATCTCAGAGCTCTAGGCAGAGGACAGAGTGAAACAAATGTGTCAAACATATGGATGACAAGAGAATGATTTTTCAAGAAATGATAACCACATGAAAGTTCTCAGAATGTCCTCTTGGGTTTGGCAACATTTTAGCCAAATAAAATGTGAACTAAATGGGCTAAAGTGGGAGTCATTTACAAAGAAAAGAGATAAGGAAACTGGCTCAATATTTTTAGAAAAGAGAATCTCCTTCATGACTTGCAAAATATCTTCATTATTCCTACAGAATACTGACACCACTTCTAAAATGGCACTGTTGAAAAATAGCACTTTTTTGAAAAAGAAAATCACTGTTTCTAGGACTAACAAAATCTGGGGACATAAAAGGAGCAGTAATTAAGTTTTATTTAGGAGATCATTTATTGAATGTCTACTCGCTTGGGCACTAGACTAAAAATTGGGGATGTCAAAATAAAATAAGAAACTTAAGCACTAAGACAATTCATAGTTGGTTAATTCACAAAGGGTTTAACTGGATTTCAATTATTTGTTTTCAGTTATTTAACTTTTGGTAAATTCAACTGTCCCTGAGAACATCTATTAATTTCTGAGAAGTGAGAATATGGTGGTAGGAATAGATAATCGTTATTTTAATTAAGTAGGGAAAATAATAAGACAGAGTTTTCACAAGATTATTTGATAACCTAAAGAAGAAGCATTCAGAAAACTTTTTGGATGTGGTAATCCCTGAGGTGGGTCCTGAAGAAGGAAAATGAAATAGCTAGGTAAAGATGAGACAGGTATAATAAATGAAGAATCATGGAGAGAACAGGACATGGCTAAGGAACTCTAAGTAGATTAGACCTGCTGCAGCAAGATGTCTTTGGTAAGATGTGAATGGTGAGACATCAAGAAGGAGAGGTGCACAATGACTAGATCATGAAAGGCCTTGTGCACTCTCCCCATGCATTTGTATTTTTTTTTTTGACAAACCTAGAAAAACAAAAATTGTTGAAGTATCAATAGGATTTAGATCAGACAAAATGAAAGAAAGAGCATTTTAGTTTTAGATTAGATTAAATGAGGGAATAGAGAACAAGAGAGGCTTGGCGAGTTTTTGAGCAGCTCAGTGATATGATTAGATTGCTCAATGTAACGGATAAATTGGACTGAAGAGATGAGAGGCTGGGAGGGTCACTTAGGGGGCAATGCAATAATTCATGCAAAAAATTGCAAGGCAGTGAGAGAGGTCTAAAAGAAGGAAACAAATGTGAGGAATATCTTGGAAGTACAATTAGTGTGATTTAGAGACCTATTCGTTATGGGGAAAGAAGAAATAGCAAATGACCTAGTGATCTTTAGCCTGGGAAACTAGGAAAGTGATGATGGCATTAAACAATATTGAACCTATTAACAGTGGAACAACAGTTAATTGTGGAGGAAGTAGGGGGAAAGCTTGGTTTTTATTGTTGACTTGTACCTATTAGCCCAGCATTTGCAGCTTCATGGAATCCATTGAATTTATCCAAGAGCTAAAATCTTATAACTTAGTATGATTTTGCACTAAAAATGTTTTCTCCATTTGTCCAAACATGAAATTAATACACAACAAGGTTTATGAAAGCAGCTTTTGTATCCCCTTTGGGAGTAGCTTCTATATATTTTTAGTGAACAAAAGGAAAAGACAGTAATATTTGCTAAATACCTACTGTATTAAGGTACTCTTTTGAGTATGTTTGCATATTCCATCCTCTAATACTCATAAAATTAGAAAAAAAAATGATGCCCGGGAAAGTTCAAGTAACTTAGAGGCTGAGTCAATTCTGACTACATCCATAACCTAAATCTCAGTTTTGTAAATTACTGCTTCTGAGTGGTCAAGGCCACAGACTAGCAAAATGTTCTTTGTTTTTCAGCACAAAGGTCGACCATATACAGAATAATACTTTGTGTTTTGAGGGCACTCAGATTTGTACATCTTTGGTAAACTGGTAATCCATGTGGTCTTTTGGTGTGTGATAGGTGGACCTGAAATATATCATTTGGACACTTGATGGCAATATTCTAAATGGGCTATTGTCTACTTCCCTATGTCGGGGGAATCTTACATAGGGTTTGCAAAACAAAGCTTCATCTCTGAAATTCCATTTGGTATCTGGCTTTCTAAGCCTTTTTGGTGTTTGTGCCCATAGAAAATAGAAAAGGCAACTTGGCTGAACCTGCCAGTCAACCTAGCCAAACACTTGCAACAGGTCAATCATATTATCTTTAATGATAGAGACAATACACATAGTAAATTAACTCCAGAAGATCAAGGGCTAGGTTAAGTTTTCTTATAGTGAAATTGAAATCTGAACACATTCAAATCATTTCTGTTCCATTAGAAAGTGTGAATAGCAATACTTCTGCAAGAGCTATATCTGATTAACATATTCTGAACTGAATTTGGTCTGGGTGTGAATATGTTTTACCGTCCCCCAAATTGGGAAACTTGTGGAATCTTTATTGCAGAGATCTGTTTGGGGTAACCGAACACCAGGTTAAGCATTTGAGAGGAAATAGATGAGCTTAACAGAGTCAGCTGGCTAGAATTTGGTATTAAGATGGAAAGGGAAGATGATGTGTGGAAATAAGGAAGAAATAAAATATACACATTTTGAGCAGCAAGAGAAATAAATCTTTTCTACAATTGCAAGTATATTCCTATTTGCATTTTCTATATTCAGTTTCCAGAAAGCTTATATAGTTTACTATTTCCAAATTGTTTGTTATATTTGTAGAGAGGCAGCAATAGGAATACTCAGGTAGGTGATCAAGGAAAAATGTTTAGATTGTCATTTAAGATTCAAGTGCATCCTAAACTTTTGGTGTAATATTACACATAATTGGGAAATTCATTTAAAAATACATATACTCAACTTCACCTAGCTCTAATGCGAATCTCTAGACGGTGGCACATTCACACATGTCTGTTAGAAATGATGAGATAGCCAACAAAGGACTAATATCCAGAGTCTACAAGAAACTCAAACAAATCAGCAAGAAAAAAACAAACAATCCCATCAAAAAGTGGGCTAAGGACGTGAATACACAATTCTCAAAAGAAGATATGCAAATGGCCAACAAACGTGAAAAAAATGCTCAACATCACTAATATCAGGGAAATTCAAATAAAAACCACAATGCAATACCACCTTACTCCTGCAAGAATGGCCATAATCAAAAAATCAAAAAATAATACATGTTAGCATGGTTACAGTGAAAAGGGAACACTTCTACACTGCATGGGAATGTAAACTAGTACAACCACCATGGAAAACAATGTGAAGATTCCTTAAAGAACTAAAAGTAGAACTATCATTTGATCCAGCAATCCCACTACTGACTAGCTACCCAGAGGAAAAGAAGTAATATATGGAAAAGATATTTGCACAACCATGTTTATAGTGGCACAATTTCACAATTTGTAATGGCAAAGTATGGAACCAGCCCAAATGTCCATCAGTTAATGAATGGATAAAGAAATTGTGGTATATATATATATATCATGGAATACTACTCAGCCATAAAAAAGAATGAAATAATGGCACTCGTAGCAACCTGGATGAAATTGGAGACCATTCTTCTAAGTGAAGTAACTCAGGAATGGAAAACCGAACATTGCATGTTCTCACTCATAAGTGGGAATTAAGCTATAAGGATGCAAAGGCATAAGAATGATACAATGCACTTTGGGGCTCAGGAAAGGGTGGGAGTGGGGTGAGGGATAAAAGACCACACATTGGGTACAGTGTACACTGCTCGAGTGATGGATGTACCAAAATCTCAGAAATCACCACTAAAGAACTTGTTCATGTAACAAAACACCACCTGTTCTCCAAAAACCTATTGAAATAAAATAAATACAGTACCAAACCAGAAAAAAAAGAAATAATGAGATAGCCCTTTTCATTTGAGGTGTCATGGCCTGGCAGGCAGCCCCCTGTGGTGGGTTCCTTTCAAGATGTCTCAGACCAACATCCTGTTCTAAATACCATTTACCCTTCAGGAAATGACATATTTTATTTTCCTGCCAATGAAGGGAAGGACATTTTACCCAACTGCAACCTTCTTTCTTAAATCTGCTAACTTCCCTCTTGCAGAATTCTCCAGGTGGGAAGAAATCACTGATTTTCATTACCGCATTTCCATTACCACATGGTTGACCAAGTTTGGTCACCATGTAGAATGAGGAGATAAATCGGGTAATTCTCTTTAGAATACAGTAATACTTATCTCTTACTGTTTTTAGCTTTCAGCTTTTACCAACATTTAGGAAAAAATCCCTTTTAACATCACGTTCCATAAATATTCAAACTCAGTGAGACGAGTGCAATAATATGAATACATAAACCTTTCTCACCACTCACTGCTAAACTGATTCAGTGGGCCTGTTTTCTCCCCAGCACCAACTCCTTCCTAAGACTTCAGGAGGAGAAAATCATCCCATAGCTTTTCTGTTCTTTGCTTAGTCAAAAACAAATTCAATTAGCTTACACCATCTCAGTTAAATTTTAAACTTGTTTACTATTCAGGGATTCTTCAAGGTAGTTGTTAAAACTTTGGTAGCTTGATATGGACTGTGGTGGGGGTATTTACACCATGAAAATTGGCAAACACTAAAAACCTGAGTTTGGAGGGAAAGATTCAGTTTACCAACACTAGTCAAGGATAATAATAAAAAAAAAATTGATTTAAAACTACCCCTCCCTAATATTTGTACACCAAGCTATAAGTATGACTATAACATAAATAAGATGTTGGTGAAAAACTTTTGATAACTCCCACTTCCCCGAGCCCCAAGACCATGGCTAGCTTCAAACTTGGAAGCCTAGAATAAGGGAGAATATAGTTTCTTGTATACTCTTTCTTGCTGTTATAGTACACCTCTCCTGCTTGATAGTTGCTGTTTCTTATCTTTCTAGGGTTTGGCTGCAAGGAGAGGAGATTAGGGAGAAAGGACATAGCCTTGGGTGGCCGATGAAGTTGTAACCTAGCGTTGGTTCCCCAACTGTGATGGATGCACCCTTGCTGTGCTCTTTCTCATACTCCTCTGGCTGACTGTTTAGGTCATTCCTCCAGTCATGGGACTCAGAGGGTCCAAGCTTCAGTTGGGGTTATAAGCACCTCCTGACTGCCTCTTAGGTAAGATTCCTTTTAAAATGATCCCTGATAGGCTGCCTCCTCTCTCACCCGCATTTGCCCTCCCCTCTAGTCTTTGTTCTCAGAAAATAGGCACTTGCAGCCCTCTATGTGCTCTGTCCCTCAAGATTCTCTTGCCCTTGATTTTGCAGACAGGAGTCAGCTACTGATCCTTGTGTCTTCCAAACTCCAGACAACATAATTGTAACTCTCTTGAAAAGTAATTTTCTTGAAACATCCTTTCTCACTTGGGCTAATACAAAGAAGAACAATCCCCCAAGTTCCTCTCAATGGGGAAAGAAATCCATAAAGCAGAAAAACACCCCTCCAAAAATGTTATTCTCCCCAAATTTCTTTTTTGTAGCCCATGATGGGTAAAGGGCCAATGGAGCCAAAAAGCTTTATGGCTTTTGTACACACTGAATAGAAAATCGAGTACCATGCTTTATGATGTGGGGCATAGTTTGCACCTATTGTATTGTTCTAGGCTTTTGGCACCTTGGCAGAAATTCTGAGCAAACAAGAAAAAGTCATATTTAACATTTTAGTATATATATATTTGAATTTATTTATAAAATATCTTGAGCAGTACATATTCACACAACCTCAGGAGAAAAGCATTTGGGGGATATATGTTCTTTTTACTTCACGATTTTCCATAGTATGTAGTTTACCATTGTAGTGTGAGTGTATGATCATATTATATTTTTTAAGTGATGGCGCAGGTGCTGATTCAGATTTGGGAGCTACTGACCTCTCAGAATCCATTATTCTGTTCAAGGAAGTTATTGCAATTTGTAATAATTTCATTATTTGTATGTCTCTTTATTATCTGTCTCACAGTGTAATGTCCAAGATCTGTTTGTATTTGTAATCAGTGTAGCCCTGCCATTAAGATGTTAGTAGATGTTCTTTGCTGGAACAAGAAACCAAGAAAACAGGAGCGAATAGAAGTGCTTACCTATAGCATGTGAGTATGATGTAGAGGGAAGTTAGAACAATGCTTTCGAGTGTATATTTGTTTATATTATTTAGGTTTTTGAACAATGTAAATGTATTTTTTCAAAAACAAGGGTTTTTGAAAAAAAAGCCTGAAACAAATATAGGGGGAAAATTAACATTTTCTTTTTCTTTGTAGTAGCATGTATATATATGTATATGTATACATAAAGTTTCCTGAACTTTGTGTCTATTTAAATATTTCATAAATTGGAAATTTTAAGGAAAAGACAAAAAGAAAACACTACATGATACAATAGTTTAAAGAACATTTTCTGTGAAGTTAGAACAAAACAACGAATTTCTTCTACCTCTATCACCCAGACTGTTACCTGTTGCCTTCTACCTTTATCACCCAGGACAAAAGATGTCTTCATTTGTAAAATTCAGATAGTAATCACATAATCCATACAAAATTATGTGGTAAAGTGCCTTGTAAATTATAACATAATACAAATATTCATATTTTTTCTTATTTCAAATTCCTTAAATTTGGGTACCATACTTTGTTCTTCTTTATATATGCTCCAACTGTTAGCTCAGTACCTGGCTATGGGACTACTGTCTCTATTTCCTAAATATAAACTAAAATTTTTCAAGGCTGAAGATACAAAAAGACTCATCCCAGGGAAAGCAGTGACTAGGAATTGTAGCCTTGGTTTTTATTCTCCTGAGATTAACCCTTCATATGGGAAAATGGTTGTCAATTATGGCTGCTTGAGTTCAGCAGCCTCAAGGGATACTGCTCTCTCCTTATCCATGTCAACTCAGTGTGCATTCATGACTTCCCTTGGTTGCTCTTAGCCTGGTTGGGAATAAGCCAACTCATTAAACAGACTTGACTAAATACATGTAGACAGCAGTAAAATTGCAGTATTAAAATACTTTACTAAATTCTTGGAGATGGCAAAAAGAAGAAAGAAGGGTGGGAAGTGGAGAAGGAGAAGAGAAAAAAAAAGAAATAACACAAGACCAAATTTGATACATCATATAAAAGAAAATACACTAAACCAAATAATCTTATTTATAAAATGTTGCTTTCTCTTTAGAAGTCCCAGACTCTATCCTAGCCTAGCAATCACCCTGCCTCCACGTAGAGAGAGCCATGTTAATATACACAATCAAAATGACCATTGAAGAGCATTCTAGTCATTCAAAATGTATTGTCAAAGAGTAAGACACATAAACACACATGGACAAATACATCCAGCTTTTATCAATTCAGACTTCTTCTAATTTAAAAACTTATTCATTAGCTAGAAACACTTCGGGACTATTCAGCAGATAAATATGATTAGTGTCTCAGAAACTCAGGAATGTTAAAGATGGCCTAAGCTTTAGAAAAACAAAACAGCTACATGTTTGAGTTTGATGTTCATAACATTATCCATATTACATGTTTAGTCAAAAATATTAGCACATAGAATTAGTTGAATATTTGCATTTTATGATTTTTCTTTGGTCTAAAAACACGCACCTGTTTTCCAGCTTAAGTAAGATTTAACTAGTAGGAAGAGGAAGAAGCCCTTAAAGAATTGTTCTAGGGTTCTATAAAATTCAAGTATTTATTTTTAAAAACTCAATTAAGGAAATTATTTTTCTCCCCAGGGAGACACGTTTTTCCTTCCCTTTTCTTAAATTTAATTACATAATATTTTAATAGATGTCCTAAAACTCAGGAAGTGAAAAATTAGAAAATATGCATAAAAGCTCTTGCAGTATAAATGACCTCAGACACAGATCAAAAACATTAGAGCCATTATTATTATAGAAGAATAGTCGGGGGCTTCCTAATCAAATTAATAAAGAAGAAATAAGCTTTCCACTGCCAAAGAGATTCAGTATTATGAAATAGACTCACTTTCTAATATGAGTACATCATGAGTCATGTTCAATTATGTAAAATTAAAACTCTACCATAAAGAAACAGAGTACAATCAGTGATTATTCAGAAAATTCCAAAATTCAATAATGAGGAATTTATCCTGTCTGTTCATTAAAGGAGTTTAATATACATCACATTCTAATGATGCAAATATTTAGTCAGTCCCAATAAGCAGCTCTTTAAGGATCCAAACATTTTAAATTCACTTTCAAGCCATCCTTCCAGCTTCAAGATTTCATTTTTGTTGTGTTGTCCTATTACTTATTTATTTTTATTCCACTAGCTTTAGCAATACAAGTGGCTTTTGATGACACAGATGAATTGCATAGTGGTGAAGTCCAAGGGTTTAGTGTACCTGTCACCCAAATAGTGTATATTGTACCCAGTAGATAGTATTATATTTCATCCCCTACCCCTCTTCCACTCTCTCCTCTCTGAGTCTCCAATGTCTTACCACTCTGCTTCCTCATAACTTAGCTCCCACTTATAAGTGAGAACATGAAGTATTTGGTTTTCCATTCCTGAGTTACTTCAGGAATAATGGCTTCCAGTTACATCCAAGTTGCTGCAAAAGACATTATTTCATTCTTGTTCATGGTCGAGTAATACTCCATGGTATACTTATATCACATTTTCTTTATCCACTCATTGATTGAGAGGCACTTAGATTGATTCCATGTCTCTGCAGTTGTGAATTGTCCAGCTTCAAGATTTCTTGCCCATAAAATAGGTGTGGGCAAAACTTAGTAGTAACCAAGCAGTCTGAGATATCATACTGTTCCCTATTTATTAATTAATGTGTTCAAAACATATCTAGTGAGCACATATTATGTAACAGGCTCAAAGGTATGAAAAGATAACACAACCTCCATGAGGCTTACTAAATAACAGGGAAAATGACTAAATAGTAATTAAAACATGATGAGTGTAGTAATTGGAGAGATACAATATTCTCTGGAAACACAGGGCAGAAACAATAAATGTATTATGTGATCTATGGATGTGAAAGAGGGCGAGGTGGATACCAGAGTAGTGATCTGAAAATCCGTATGTGACTTTTTCTTCTCCCGACATCCTTCCATTTTTTCTTCTATTTTTCCTGTTTCATATCTTATTCCAAATATCTATCTTTTTTTTTTCTTGTCCCAACCTGCCTAGTATCTGTTGTTATTTTTTTGGTTTGTTTGTTTGTTTTTTTTCTTATCATCTGTAGTTAGATTCAGCATACGACTTCAGCAACAGTTCTCTTTATAGCCAAAACTCATTTAATTCATATCCCTATTCAGTTTCCTAGACCCACACAGATCTTGTGGTGTTAGTACTAAACTTGTCATCAGCAGACTCAGATCAAAATCCTGATATTGCTGAGTAATAATAGCTATGTGGCTGAAGACAAAATGACCCCTCAGAGTCTCAGCATCTTCATCTTCATGATGAACCAACTTTACGAGGATGGTGCATAGAGAAATATAGATAAGGTGGTATATAAATGCAGTTAGGTAAACAAAGGAAAATGTCATCAAAGAAACAAACCAAAATATGTCTACTTGGACTCACTTGAGAGGTATTTTAAGAGATTGCTTTGAAATACATGAAAAGTGATACTGCAATGGCACCCTCTCTGTAATGAATGAAATTGCAGAGTGAAGATACATGGGACAATGTTGTACAGAAGTTTGTTTTGTTTTAATGACTTTTCTTAGTGAAATGTAAGTATGTGAACATGACTGAGTTTAGAAAATGTGTTTCTAAAGAATGCATGTTCAGTATGTGTCCTACTGTTTCCATTTATATAGCTTTTCTTATGATAGAATGAAAGCCTCTTACCATGTGAATCCTGGAGGCTGGTTGGCTGACATTCACATGTGGCCTGGGGAAGCTATCTTAAGCATGGAAACTACTTATTTAATAGTTCAAAATACTCAGACATGGATTTACACTACTTCCAATTATCCATAGTTTTATTTTTATATAACAGCTAGACACTACTGAGCATTCTACACTTCGTTTTTCACAATCTGCAACCAGTGTTCTGAAAAAAACCGAACAAACAAACAAACAAACAAAACTAATAGTTCAAAGACAAAAAAAAAATGTAAGAGCAAATTACCACAGCCCCTTACATTTACAATAGACCTTTGTCCAAGACCTGGAGGGATAACCTAGCCTTTTCTAGTAGTATTTCCAGACAGTGAGTCACCTTTTAGCAGAAACTTTTTAAGAGTGTATTTTAAACTATAAATATTTTTGTATTTTATAAAAGGATCTTGTATACTTTATTTTCTTGACAGCACATTTAAAATTTCCCTTTCTTTAGGCAAGGTAGTCTTCAAGTAAAGGCATTTTAGGGAAGCCTATATCTGCTTCTATTTTGTTTATTGACTGATCCAGTCATTCTTTGAACAAATATTTAACAAATATTTATTGAGGAACTGGTATGTACCAGGTAACCCTTCAAGGGTTATTTTATTTTACCCTCATGGCAATACTGTGAAGTGCATATTATTCCCCATTTTTAGAGTAAAAATACTTGGAGAGAAGGCAAACTACGTAAAATTCTACGTAAAGCATATATAGGTCTATCATTTATGTCTTCGCGTAATTACTTTGTTCATCTAAGCACACTGGGCAATATATGTCAAACCTGATTAGAACAGTGTTTCAATGACACCCCCTTCACTGTGGATAGGTACTTTGAGTCACTGTGTCATGGCTGAGGATGCTCAATCAGATTTCTACATTGTACGACTGCCAATGCTGTTAGAACCAGGAAGAAAGAACAGGAATCAGCTTTTTTATGTCCAGACAGTTTGCCACCTAGTGGTCAAGTTTAGCAAAACTTTCTGGAGTCTATTGTTTGTTAAGACAACTTAACTCTCCTTAGATTGTATTTTTCTTAGCTCTAAACAGGGGACCCAGCTTTGCTTAGCTACTTCCAAAGATTAGGGCAGGGCAGATTTTCATCATAAGTTACTAGACAGAGTTTCTAGGGATGGCAAGAAACGTCTTTGGCTCTCTCTTGAGGAAAGGGCAAAAGTGCATGCCTCAATCAAATGTTGATGCCTTTGGGGCAAGGTATAATGCTCTGTATGCAACAAAACCATGCAGGTACAAACTTCAGAGAGACAATGTAAATAGAAGTAGACAGAATTAGAATTTGAAAGCTTATGGAGTCATGACTTATCTGCCTTTTGTTTCTCTGGCTTTTAAAAGGGATATTGGAAAATATTTTACTTTTTGGCACTCTATTTTTTTTTATTTTAAAATGCAAATTTCAGCATTTCTCACCAAGTGACAAATGTAAAGTGTTTTAGAATTTTCAGAGGAATATTGTTTTCCTAGACACTGTTTACCAAAACAGTTTACCTAGACTACAGTTTACCAAAAATTCTGAAATCGAAGTCTGAAGAAGTAGTAGACTTTAATTAAATGACGAAGCAAGAAGGATACCATTTCTAAGTCTTGTGTAGGTATATGATTTTTTCATTTTCTGCTACAACCAGATTCTGCCACTGAAATATTTATAATATTGAGATTTGGGACCAGGGTGAGATTTTGTTTTAGAGTAGGAATGAACTGAACCACTTATTCTCAGACAAAATGCATGCAGTCAAGAACTCCATGACTATCTGTGAGACAGATGGGAACTCCTGATGCATACCAGGCGACTGTTCTTCAGCAAAGAAAACAAAAACCCAGGTGCAGAATGTATTGCAACAGTGCAGATGGGTCTTCAAGGGTGTTCACTGTTTACAAGAAAGAGGAACAGAGCTCTCATCATTGAGTGACCACTCTTCCTGGGGATCTATTTCCCCCAGCTGGCCTCAAGCAGAATATTCCCCCAAAGGCCCAAGCACCAGCTGTCAATGACCTCTGCCCCTTCAAAGAGAGAGACTGGGTGGCCGCTTTCACCCTGTCAAGATGTGCTAATTACTGGAATGCTGAGAATCAGAGCCTGCATCCTACAATGGTATTTCTATAGCTTGTCCACCTCCTACACATCTTTCTCCTCTTGTTCTTAAATCTTTTAAATATACAACAGCTTACATCAATTTCTCTATAGATTGTTGGCATCTTTTCTATCCAGTTATATGTTCTCAGCTCCCATATTTTATATTTTATATTTTATAAAAGGATCTTGTATACTTTATATTTTGTCAAATTATTTAAAATTTCCCTTTCTTTAGGCAAGGCAATCTTCAATTAAAAATCCCTTCATTTAAGAGCAATTTGGAAAGAGAGAAAAGCCCTCTTGATATCTACTCTATGCCAGAGGCATGTCCATCCATAGACATGGCTTGATCTAATTATCATCATAAACCTAGAAGAGAACATTATTATTCACAGTTGCCAGGTATGGAAACTGAGGCTAAGGGAGGCTGATACTCTTTATATATGACTCTGCAATCCTTCCTCTCCCAATTCGTAGTTTACACTGCCTAATTATTCTTCCTAAAATGTACCTCTGATTATTTCATACTCTAGCATCCTTTTCTTGTCTGGTAAAGGAAGTACAAACTCCTCTGTTGGCCTTTTAAGGTGTAGTCTTTGTCTGCTCTTCCAACTGTGCCTCAAACTTCTCACTGACACAAAGCTTTTCAGCTATATCCCAGGTTTCTGCCCTTTCTCTAGCAATTCGGTCCTCTCTGACCCATCTGTCTTACTCTTTAGTCTTGCCCTTCTCACAGGGATATCTTAGCATATTCCGCAGATCAGCACATAGATCATCTTCCTCACGAAAACTTTCTTCCACCTTTAATATGTGTGAAAACTATTATAATTTTTGCATTGAACTTTTAACTCTTAACACTGTTCATTAAAGATAATATTGAACAATCTAGGCTCACACTGAAAATCATCATCAAAATGCAATATAATAATTATCTTCATGGGACACTGTACTAGACATCATGTAAGAAAAATTCAAGAAAAGTGACGGAACTTCTGAATTCTTCAGAGTAGTGTCAAAAGATAGAGAGAAAAAAAGAACTGAGCCAGATAAAATATCATAAAGTACAGAGATTGTAATATGAAATTGAGTTTCTAAGTAAAATTTTATTGTCATTTGTTTTATTTTATTTAAAAGCATAAAAATCAAAGGTTTTCAGATGCAAATATTCTATAGGGATGGCTGAAGTAAGGAAAATATATACTGCATCCCTACAATTGGCAAAATCCTACTTATTATCTCATTTCATACATAAGCAAAGAGGTAATAAATGTTTAATAACAATCTCTGAAAAGAAAAAAAACCCTGATTTGAAGTCTTTGCCAATTTCTGTAGTGTAAATATTTTCACTACTAATATTTCTATTTAAAGCTACGAATGTGGCATCTCTGATCATGGAGTTAGAAGAGATGTTCACACCTGCCTCTCACACTCTGGTACAACGTCCCTCAAGCACACTTCTATAAAAACTAATTATTTTCCCTATTAAGCAGATTAAGGAAGTGAGAATCAGAGACGTTTTATAACTTGCACAAGATCACACAGTCAATATACAGAAAAGAGGTGATTTTAGTCTGCTATGTAAGATTACAGATTCCACTCTTTTTGGCTAGAGCGCACGCCTGATCTCTATCAGCAAGTTACTGAATTAAGCAAATTGAACATAGACATCCCTCAATACCCTCTTGTTTCTACCAGGAGTAGAGAAACAGAACAACAAGGAATAATCACATAGTGGACAGGGCCTCAATAAAAGACTTCAATGGGGAAGAAATCTCTAGTAGCATAGAGTGTTGATTCTCAGGAACATAAAACAAAAGATGAGCATAAATTGAGCTTTTGCCTTTTCTCATGAGCTTCCTCTATTTACCTAAGCCTCTTACTTTTATAGAAACCCATTACTTTCTGTTGGCTCTTAACCTAGCCACACAATGAATTTCTCCTTATAGTCAGTATTTTTCCTCCCTCTCTCCCTATTTCCTTTCCTTCCTTTTTTCTACATTCGTTTTTTCCTTCTTCCCTTTCCTTTTTTCTTGTTTCTTTCTGCTGATACCATTTTATTGTTGTTCTTTAATTATCAAGGGTCAGAAATACATATACTATTTCCCAATGTTACACACCCAACATAACTCATCCGGAATTGTCAGGAAGGTAGTTAGCTCCAATAGAATATTAAAAAGTGGTCACAGGTCAGGCATGGTGGCTCATGCCTGTAATCCCAGTGTTTTAGGAGCCCAACACCAACACAGGAAGATTGCTTGAGGCCGAGAGTTTGAGACCAGCCGGGGCAATGTAAAAAGACACTGTCTTGACAAAAAGAAAAAAAAAGTGATCACAGAATCAGGGTCTACTAATTAAGTACATAAATATGTATTGTGAGGGTCAAATAGATTTATCCAGAGGAATATAAAACACTCCTATTAAAAGTTTGGAATGCAAAATTAACTTCTGGGATAAAAAGCTGAATTTTGGTTTTCTCTGTGTACAAACCAAGGTTAAAGTGTAAATGTTTCTGCACATAACTCAGATTCCAATATCATACAGAGGAAGAAGAATAAGTACTATAAAGAGTGGACAAAGTACACTTCCTCTTATTCCCATAATAAGCTTGCCCAATACATTGTTAAAAATGAAATTAATTTCTAACTTAGCCTTTATAATAAGAAGGATCAAGACCAATTCTATGGTAGTTGACATTGCATATCAAGTAAAATATAAAACAACTCATGACGAAAAGAGCTGCTCCAGTTAAAATAAATGAGGGTTTTAAAAAGTCACATACTCAAGAGTCACTTTGTAGCCCTTAGTTTTTTTGTCTAAAGTATTCCCAGGAGCAGATTGGTCCTTCTCCCACCCACCAGCACCCTCTCTCATCCCCCATTTTTCAAGTCATTTGTCAGCACACAGCGGTATCCAAGGTGCCTGGACTCTGTCAGGTTTTCATCTGGAAAGCAAAGCAAAGCCGTCTGAAGCCACTCACACATTGATCTCCTACCAGTGAACAGAATCCAACTTACATGAAACCTGCCACTCCTGAACCATGCTTACAATAGAGCACTCTGAGCAGCTGTGACCCCTCTATCTAGAGCACCATGTCAAAAATGCATAAAAGGAGTAACAGAAGAGAGAAGAAACAGAAATGGAGACCAGTTCATGAGCACCTCCAGGACTCAGTTTCTTTATCATTACGTTAGACAAGATCTGGTTCAGATTTTTTTTTATATATACTTTAAGTTTTAGGGTACATGTGCACAATGTGCAGGTTAGTTACATATGTATATATGTGCCATGCTGGTGTGCTGCACCCATTAACTCATCATTTAGCATTAGGTATATCTCCCAATGCTATCCCTCCCCCCTCCCCCCTCCCCACACCCCACAACAGTCCCCAGAGTGTGGTATTCCCCTTCCTGTGTCCATCTGTTCTCATTGTTCAATTCCCATCTATGAGTGAGAATATGCAGTGTTTGGTTTTTTGTTCTTGCGATAGTTTACTGAGAATGATGATTTCCAATTTCATCCATGTCCCTACAAAGGACATGAACTCATCATTTTTTATGGCTGCATAGTATTCCATGGTGTATATGTGCCACATTTTCTTAATCCAGTCTACCATTATTGGACATTTTGGTTGGTTCCAAGTCCTGGCTATTGTGAATAATGCCGCAATAAACATACATGTGCATGTGTCTTTATAGCAGCATGATTTATAGTCCTTTGGGTATATACCCAGTAATGGGATGGCTGGGTCAAATGGTATTTCTAGTTCTAGATCCCTGAGGAATCGCCACACTGACTTCCACAATGGTTGAACTAGTTTACAGTCCCACCAACAGTGTAAAAGTGTTCCTATTTCTCCACATCCTCTCTAGCACCTGTTGTTTCCTGACTTTTTAATGATTGCCATTCTAACTGGTGTGAGATGGTATCTCATTGTGGTTTTGATTTGCATTTCTCTGATGGCCAGTGATGATGAGCATTTTTTTCATGTGTCTTTTGGCTGCATAAATGTCTTCTTTTGAGAAGCACCTGTTCATATCCTTTGCCCACTTTTTGATGGGGTTGTTTGTTTTTTTCTTGTAAATTTGTTTGAGTTCAGTGTAGATTCTGGATATTAGCCCTTTGTCAGATGAGTAGGTTGCGAAAATTCTCTCCATTTTGTAGGTTGCCTGTTCACTCTGACGGTAGTTTCTTTTGCTGTGCAGAAGCTCTTTAGTTTAATTAGATCCCATTTGTCAATTTTGTCTTTTGTTGCCATTGCTTTTGGTGTTTTAGACATGAAGTCCTTGCCCATGCCTATGTCCTGAATGGTAATGCCCAGGTTTTCTTCTAGGGTTTTTATGGTTTTAGGTCTAACGTTTAAGTCTTTAATCCATCTTGAATTAATTTTTGTATAAGGTGTAAGGAAGGGATCCAGTTTCAGCTTTCTACATATGGCTAGCCAGTTTTCCCAGCACCATTTATTAAATAGGGAATCCTTTCCCTATTGCTTGTTTTTCTCAGGTTTCTCAAAGATCAGATAGTTGTAGATATGTGGCATTATTTCTGAGGTCTCTGTTCTGTTCCATTGATCTACATCTCTGTTTTGGTACCAGTACCATGCTGTTTTGGTTACTGTAGCCTTGTAGTATAGTTTGAAGTCAGGTAGCATGATGCCTCCAGCTTTGTTCTTTTGGCTTAGGATTGACTTGGCGATGCAGGCTCTTTTTTGGTTCCATATGAAGTTTAAAGTAGTTTTTTTCCAATTCTGTGAAGAAAGTCATTGGTTGCTTGATGGGGATGGCATTGAATCTATAAATTACCTTGGGCATTATGGCCATTTTCATGATATTGATTCTTGCTACCCATGAGCATGGAATGTTCTTCCATTTGTTTGTATCCTCATTTATTTCATTGAGCAGTGGTTTGTAGTTCTCCTTGAAGAGGTCCTTCACGTCCCTTGTAAGTTGGATTCCTAAGTATTTTATTCTCTTTGAAGCAATTGTGAATGGGAGTTCACTCATGATTTGGCTCTCTGTTTGTCTGTTATTGGTGTATAAGAATGCTTGTGATTTTTGTACATTGATTTTGTATCCTGAGACTTTGCTGAAGTTGCTTATCAGCTTAAGGAGATTTTGGGCTGAGACAATGGGGTTTTCAGATGATATTGAGGATCATTTTCAGCTCAAAACCTCTGTAACATAAATAAGCATCACAAGGCTGTGGTTTTCATTTTTAAAAGCTGCGTAAGATTCAGGGATTCAATAAAGAGAAGTATTTTAACTTTTCGGTAATTCGTCCCAGCCAGAAAAGAAGTGTGATGTATCAGTGTGTGCTTTGGAACTTTGCTTGGGCACCTTAGAAATTTTCTGAAACAAATAATATATGAAAAAGATCTCAAAAAAAATGCTACCAGTTTATGTGGCAGAAAAGGGACTTGCTGTCTATTTAGCACCCACTGTGGGTTAAGTGCTTTGAAGAAATTCCCAGAAAAGCTTCTGAAGCCTGCAGTCTCCTGGAGGAGTCATTATCTTCTATGGTCCAGTCGTGAATATTCATAGTTGTGAGCATTTTAGTAAGTGTTTCATTTCTCTTTTAAATGAATAGGCTCAGAGAGCCTACCACACTTTGATTAAATAATAACAGTAACTGCCACACAAAAACTGTGTTCAGCACTTTTCCTACAGTATGTTTTTTGATACTCATCAGAGCATCATATTCCCATCTTAAAAGGTGAGAAAAGTGAAGTTCAGAAATGTTGAGTCATTCACCCAAAATCATCCAGACTTTAGAAAGAGGCAGAGTTTGGTTTCAAAGGTAACTGATTATAATCCCAAAATATACAATCCCAAATGCTATAAACCTGAATGCTGAAATCCCAAATATGAAAATTTGGATCTAAAGTCTAAAATCCTGAAAATATAATTCTAGAAAAAATAATTTAAAAATTATTTTAAAGACATTCATTTACATTTTTAATGAGGATATATTTGAGAAACATGTAAAAACACAACAGGACATTTCATAGGACAATTTACACAATAAAATATGCAATACATATTTTGCAAGCATAAACACTCAAGTACACTAATGACACTCACATGGGCAGAACAATGATGAGCAGATGAGCCATACTCATAATGAAATAATAAGTCACAAAGCTAAATATATAAACACATACCACTATGATTGATAATCGTGTGACCCCAGCTTCATAACTGCAGTCACCTGAAATACCTCCATGGACAACTTGTCTTTTGACAAGATTGGTCAAAAACTACAATGGATCACCACTGCATATGCAGTTTCCCAAACAGCTGAGAGCTCAAGAAATTCTATCTTTCATGAATGCAGATGTACAAAAAGGACATTTCTTCATTTATTAAGAAAGTTGCAACATTTTAACGCTGAGAACCAGAGAAGCTGATGGTTTAACTTAGTCCAAAGCTGAAAGTCCAAAGACCCCCCCAGGGTCGGGGCGGTCATGAAGTCCAAAGGCCAGTGAGCCTGGGGTTCTGGTGTTCAAGACAGCAGAAGAAAATATGGTCCAGCTCTCAGAGAAAGACAAATTTGCCTTCTGTATTCATTCTCTCTGGGCCCCTGACTGACTGGATGGTGCCAATATTGAGGGCAGATCTTTCCCACCCAGTCCACTCAGACTTCTGTACTAACCTCTTCTGGACACATTGATATAACCTGGCTCTGTGTCCCTACCCAAATCTCATCTTGAATTTTAATCCCCATAATCTCCACATGTCTAGGGAGAGAAATGGTTGGAGGTGATTGACGCACGGGGGCAGTTTCCCCCATGCTGTTCTCATGATAGTGAGTGAGTTCTCCTAAGATCCAATGGTTTGATAAGGGGCTCTTCCCCCTTTGCTCCTCACACTCTCTCTCCTGCCACCATGTGAAAGGGTCCAAGTTTGCTTCCCCTTCACCTTCTGCCATGATTGTAAGTTTCCTGAGGCCTCCCCAGCCATGCAAAACTGTGAGTCAATTAAACCTCTTTTTTTAAATAAATTACCCAGTCCTGAGTATGTCTTTATTAGCAGCATGAGAACAGACTAATACACACACCCTCACAGACACATCTAAAATAATGCTTTATTGGCTCTCTAGTTACTCCTTTATCCAGTCAAGTTGACACCTACAATTAAGTTCACACTCCACCCCTTTTTAAGTTTGCACCCATACGTATCTCCTTAAACCATACTTAATTTCCAGATGAAGACAATAAGAAAATAATTGTTCTGTCTAACATGATGTACCTATCCTATGATTGTGATGTTCAGGATTTTAGATGTTAGAGATTTTATATTTTAAAGACTTAGACTTTAGGAATTTTGATATTTTGGGATTTAAACATTCGGGGTTATGGAGCCCAGGATTGTCTACCGAGATTATGATCCAAACCTGTTTCAAATCCTGTTCTCTCTAATTATAAAGCCAATTGTCCTCAATATCTCAGTGCAAAGTGTGATCCGAAGACCACCTACATCAGACTCACTTAAGGTGCCTGTGGATAATGTTGGCTTCTGGACCCTAGGTCAGACCTTCTAAATCAGCACCTGTGTGTGCATGCGTGGTAGGGAGAACTGGGAGTAGGAATTTAGATTTAAAAAAAAAATTCTGCCAGGCACAGTGGCTCATGCCTGTAATCCCAGCACTTTGGGAGGCCAAGGCAGGTGGATCACAAGGTCAGGAGTTCGAGACCAGCCCAGCCAATATGGTGAAACCCCATGTCTACTAAAAATACAAAACTTAGCCGGATGTGGTGATGCACACCTGTAGTCCCAGCTACTCAGGAGGCTGAGGCAGAAGAATTGCTTGAACCTGGGAGGCCGAGGTTGCAGTGAGCTGAGATCATGCCACTGCACTCCAGCCTGGGTGACAGAGCAAGACTCTGACTCAAAAAAAAAAAAATTTCTCATGTGATTGTTTTATGAATTCAAATTTGAGAACTTCTGCACAATATGTTATATTGCCTTTCTAGATAAAACCTTTAAGAACCTGATATAAACCCAAAATGCAGATAGAAAGAATTACAACAAGAAATATAGAGACCAAGAACATTGTAATACTCAGGTTGGATGGCCAGTCTGTTCTCTCCCTAGCACATGAGAAACTAAACTCCCCTCAGAATAGGGCCTGGAGAACAAGTGTGGAGGAGGTGCAAAAAGGTTTAGACTAGTTCAGGAGTCATGTCATCCTGTTTGTCTCCACTCCACAATGGGCTTGAATCTGACAAGGGAACCAGTTTGCCCAGCACCCTCAATGTAGGCCACCTCTAAGTCAGCCCTGATAAAGTCTCACTCTTTGTCTCCCCTGGCCTACCTTAGTCTCGCATTGACACATTTTTAATCAGTCAGGGTCCAATAACATCAATTAGATTATGGTTCTTTTTTCAGCTTCTGAAGAAGCAGCTCAGATACCTCAATTAGAGTGGGACCCTTTCCTGATTGCCTCCATTAATTACATACCTGCAAACTATTTGCTCAACAGGGAACAGTTTTGTAGAAAATATAAATAGCTGGCACTTACATATACCATGTTCTAGATAGTGTTCTAAGAACTTGACTTGTGTTATCTTAATTAATCTTCACCACAGACCTATGAAGAAAATACTGTACGTTGTCTTCATTTTACAAATAGAAACTGAGGCACAAAATGGTTAAGTAAATTTCTGAGGTCCAAACAGCTATAAGCAACAGAGCCTGAATCCGAACACATACAGCAGAAACCCAGTCCATGCTCTTATCTCCCCGGCTACTTTGCTTCTAAGAATATCTTATATGCTTATTTTTGCTAGTTTTAGTCTTTGATGGTGACAAACTTACCTCTACATTCAGGTGGCATTTTAAAGAAAGATTGTAAATCCAACAATTAAATATACAACTGACTCAGCATTACATCCGTCACACACATAGGAGAGTGACCTGAAAAAAAGTAAATTGTCTTTACAATACCTGCTTGTCATGTCTCCATAATCCTAGTACTCACCTTCATTCAGAACTTGTTATAAAATTACATAATGCAAATTCTAAACATAAATGTCACTGGGAATATTGAATCAACTGGGTAAAACAGTGGGATATACATATATCACTCCTCACCTCTGGGTTACCTCACCCATCCTAATGTTTGTAAGGATATTTTTACTCCTAAATTATTTCAGACTCACCACAACATAAATTATTTGAGACTTCCTATTTTACAATACTACTCTTACTGTATTCCTGCTGTTGCTGAAGATAACTTCCAAGTAAGTTAAACTATGTTATACATTTTGTATTGTTTCACTGTCTTTATTCATTTTGAAATTGACAAATAAAAACTTTATATATTTATGGTGTACAACATGATGCTAAGCTAATTTATACTTTATAATTTGTTTTTAAAATACTCCCTTAAGATTCATGACATCAGGAGTTGAGGGTCTGCAGGAATAACAGGCCAGACACAACTTTTGTTTCTACTGTCTTTCTCCTCTTTTGTGTGAAGCCCTGATTTCTACAAAAGCCTAAAATTTCCACACTGCAAACTCACCAATATTGATGCTGGGTAGAGCAGGACGATATGAATTTTCCAAAGAAGTGATTTAGGAAGATGTAACCTCTGTTGGAGTTTGGAACTGGACAATGTTTCTTCTTGAAATGTTTGCCTTATTTTTATAAACAAATTAAAAGTGCAAGAATTTCTCTACCCCCAACCTTCCCATTGCTTTGATTATATGTTTGGTTGCTAAATAGCAACCCAGTCTACAGTATTTCACTTAAAGAAAAACTCCAGCAACTTATCCCAATGGAACAGTCAAAATATACCACACTGTTCCATCAAGCCTAGATTAAGGATAATTATAAATAATACAAAGACTATTTTATGCTTCCTCCTCTACCGCAAAGTTAAGCATTCCAGCAGTTCACAAATTACCAGAAGATCAAATATTACAACCAAGTCAAAAAAAGATTAAATCATTAAGTTGTAGATGAATGACTAGCTAAATGCCAATACCCTTTGAAAAAGAATATAAAAACTTCTTTCATTCTAAAGGAATGTCTTAGTTTGTTCAGGTCACTATAGCCAAATATTTTATACTGGGTAATTTATAAATAACAGAAATTTATCTCTCATGGTTCTGGAGGCTGGGAAGTCCAAGATCAATGCACCAGTAGATTTTGCATCTGGTGAAGACTCTCTCTCTACTCCACAGATGATGCCTTATTGCCATGTCCTTACATGGCAGAAGAGGCCAAGGAGCTCCCTTTAACCTCTTTCATAACAATACTGATCCCACTTATGAGGGTGGAGGTCGTATGACTTAGTCCCTTCCCAAAAAGCCTCAGCTCTTAATACTATCACGTTGAGGATTAAGTTTCAACATATGAATTTTGGAGGGCCACAAATATTCAGGCCATAGCAAGGAGGATTATCAAATATGCATCTTATGCATAAGTTCTATGGTTATCACCTTGAAGGGCATGTATACAATACCAGACCTTCCAAGATTTTCCAGGAAAACTCCGATTTCAAACATCCTTCCCTGATGACCCAGTGAAATTATTGAGTGGCTGCTATATGCCATACAGAGCACGTTGCTGTTGGTCAAACTATGTGTCCTAAGTTTTCCTTTAAAAAATATGGTCAGAGTAGACTTAATTCTTCCACCACCAATGAATTTTCTGAGCATGGCCTTTCAAAATGTATCTGATAGAACATGGGCTTGAAGGAGTTAATTTCAAGAGTTCATGTATCTGAAACCAGGTTGTTTCAATTTTATTAGCTGTGTGATCTAGGAAATATTATTTAACCCCACTGAGCCGTAGTTTCCCCATCTGCAAAATGAATAATAATAGTGCCTACTACACTGGGTTGTAAAGATAAATTAATATGATAATAAATCTAAAGTTCTTGGAATAGCCCTTAACACATACTAAGTTTTCAATAAAAGTTAGCTCATTATTTTATCTAAACTATTAATCAATTTAATCAATGACTAGATGAGGCCTATACAGAGATATTGCCACTTTACCACAAAAAAAAATGGCTCTGTACAGTAAAAAGAATATTTACTTTTTACCAAAATCATGGACTTGTTGATATAATTTAACCCATTCCTGGGAAAATGTTTTCCTTTTTACCTTGCTTTTAATTTGTGATGTAACTACTGTTTTGTATAATAAGTACCTTTACAATGTGAGAAAATATTTTTGTCCGTGTCTTAGCCAATATTTTATTGCCTTAATAATTCACTCAAGAAAAACCTTGAGGATGGCAACATCATATCGTCCTTGTTATCTGTCTCATGCATATTCAAATGAGTGGAACTGCCTATTACACCAGGACCAAATTATTTCAAATATCATATCAAAGACATATTTGTTGCTGTGCTCTTTTCTGATTTGTCTATTATTAAACATTGATACATTATATCAAAAATAAGATATGTTATTGTTGATGTCTGATAAAAGGTTGAAGAATGTTTATGTGGCTTTTCTCAACTTGAGATGGAAAATACTTATATATGACTTATTTTTTCATCATTGTACAACCTAAATAGAAAAAATAACATGAAAAAGTATACAAGCAGGAAAATATGAGACCAATAAATAAGAATCCATTAATTCTTGAAAAAGTAAATGTCACTATAAGCAGTTATGAAGGCCCTGGCTGATTCTTGCAGAAAATCTGTTCTTATGGGTCCACTATAGGAAGGATAGATGAGATCACATGTGAGAATCAAAGTAGAGTTAATGCATTAAGGGGGCTGGGAAAAGAAAGGTTAGTTAAGACATCTGTAGAACGACTTTAAACCATACCTCTAACATAAGCACAACCCAGACATGCAGTTAACACTAAGCCTCACTCATGGTAGGAGTTCAAGAAATATTAGAGGATGAATGAATAAATGAATGAGCTTAATCCTGGACTACAAGAGGATAGAAAATGCAAAACAATTTATGATGTGTGGTGTGTATTTTTCAGTTTGTTGGTGGAAAAACAATCAGTTAACCTCCTTGAACCTTGATTTCTTCCCTAGAAAACTGGATTAATAATATTGTAATATAATAGTCCTTTCTACTTCCAAAGTATTATTGTGGCTTGCAAATTGGAATACTCTGAAATTTACAAATGATATACAAAATTAAATTGTTTTTATTTTACTTCCTTAAAAACAGTGAAAAGTCTTTGGTATGTCTTCACTGATTTTCTTACTCTCAATCTACTTGTACAGACCTAGAGGTGTAGGGATGAGGTTGAAGATAGAGTGGAAAAGAGAAACATGAGCATTAGTATACAAATTACAGTCTTCATCTTTTTCTGTGATGGTTCAGAGGGATTGCCTGGAGGTGTGAAGTGAGAGAAAGGAGTCATCATTATTTCTTTCTGTAAGTCAAGTACTGGATAGTTTATATGAAACAAGGTGTGGTGAGTCTCTGAGGAAAAAGGTGAGAGATAGCAGCCACAATCATAAGTTGAACAACAGTCATCACAGGTTCAAAGTGTGAAAAGCACAAGCGGTCAAGCCTGGCTATTTTAAGCTTCACTTGCACTCACAGCTGGCAATGTGTTAGAAATGCAGCCCCCTTCTGAAAGCAATGGGTGATGGAGGAGGGAGGGAGGAGAGATAACAGAAAGGGGAACCAGAATTTCCTGTGTTAAATATTAATTATATGTGGATGGTATTTTTTTAAACATACCCAGGCGTTGCTATTGAAATGCAAATGTGTGTTTATTGCCATGAGGGAGATGTTGTAAAAGGAAAAAAAAAAAAATAGACAATACCCAGAGCTGGAAATTGCCCCCTGGGCCAAGGGCAGATGTTGGGTAAGAACACAAACATGCAGGGAGGACAGGAAGAAGGGAGTAGGAACAAGAAAAAAAAAAAAAGGACCAGAAAGAAGTAGAAAAGGCCACCATGGACATCCCGGGAGAGCTGATTAAAAAGTCACAGCTGAGCCAAGCCTTTGTCACAAACCAAGAAAGAATTCTCAGGATTTAATGGGTAGAGTGGTCAACTAGTGAGAATTGAAAGGCTCTTCTCAACTGAAGTAAAAATGGTAAAAATTGATCTACGCCTCCTTAACAATTGGCAGCATAATGGTAAATGGCAGCAAACGGTAATAATTGATCTATGCTTCCTTAAGTTTTCTCAAGAGAAGCAAAAATAGTAAAAATTGGTTTATGCTGCTTTAGCAATATAAAATAACACTGCACCTGATGAGATAAGAACCAGATATTCCCTCTCCTTGTAGTGAAAAGTTGGGTTAGAAATAAAGCAGGCTTAGAAAACTCAAGTATGGAGCAGAAAAGTGGTATCACTGGAAATGCAATAGAAAAGAAAAATCACTGAATTGAGGTAATATTTACTGAAGAGATTTCCCATTAACCTTTCCTACTCACTGAATAATGGCAGAGAAGAAAACTGAAGATTTGCTAGCAATGGGCCTGGAGGAAATGAGGAAAAGCCAAATAATCACATGTCCCATTGTTTCATCACTTCCTCACTTTAAGACATCCTGAAATATGAATAAAAACAACATCTAGATATGCTTATAGACTACGACAAAATCAATCATCAACAAACCATTGCTATTTCTGGGAAGCTTAATGTATAAAGGCAAAGTGCTAAAGAAACTTAAATATGTGTAGATTGGATGGAAAGCAGAGCTAGAACTAAATTAATAGCTTCGTGTCTCCCACAGATACATAGTGCCTTTGTATGTGACTACATGTATGTCTGCATGAAGTATCATCGAACTATGTATTTCATTTAGAGATAAAACCAAGTCAAAGGGAATTTAAAATCAGTTTTCTTAATTGATTTGTTCAACCAAAACTTATGTATAAGTGCTTACTAATGTGCCACATGCAATTTTGTGTCCTAAGGATAAAGCAGTGAGCAAAAATGGACAGAGAGCATAAACTTTTTGGCCAGATCATAGAAATGCAAGAGTATTTGGGAGTCTCCCTGGAAGATCATTCCCTGAGTTGCCCAAGCCTTTTATTCTTAATTAGATGGGCAATGAGGAATCATTAAACGTGTTTTTCTCAGAGGAAAGGCAGAAGCAATTTATACTGCAGAAAGACGAATACATTAGCTATGTGCAAAATAGATGGGAGGGAGAATCAAGAATTTGGAAGGTTGGAAACCTATTTCTTGAAGTTGCTGCATTAACATAGTTATGAGGACAAAGGAAAATGAATTAGAGTGGTGTCAATGAGAGTATAAAACAAGCGATCAGATCTTTGTCAGAACTGGCAAAAGTTGGGGACAATTGCAGAGAGTAAGAGAGGAAGAAGGGAGCACAAAAAATTTAGTTAAGAAAGGCCACATGATAGAGGTCAATTTCCTAATAAAAGTGACCTAAATTATTCTAAGAATCACATAACACCAAGAAATCAGTAAGTTCATTAAGTTTTCCTTAAATTGAGGTAACTGATAAGACATGTCAGAATGCTCACAGCTCTCCAGGCACTGGGGTCAAGAGTGGGGCTTAGACTTCAATGTTACTTATCTTAAATTCATCAGTAAGATCCATAATGTTAACACACACTGCATTAGAGCTAACAGTTTGTTTTACAATTGATGGAGATGCCCTTCATCACTCCTTAAAAAAAGTAAGTGTTGGAGGAAAAAAACATATTTGAGAATGACCTCTTTTTTAATCAATAAGGACATGAACTCACCTCCTTTCACAGAAGAGAAAATCTTCATTTTTTTTCCTCTAATGCCAACATGCCACACACTAGTTATGTGGCTTGGATAAGAAAGGCAACACGCTATGGTTAAACACACACTAAAACTGAGAACTTAGGTAACATTCATTCATTCATTCATTCATTCAATAAGCCTTCCTTGAACATCCTCTTCATGCTAGGAACCATTCATGACCCTGTAGGGAAGACAGAGAAAATAACTTCAGGTGATAATAGTGAAAAATGAGACAACACAGTATATTAAGAGTGCAACTGAGGAACACAGGAAAGCTACTTTTGGCTATGGAAATTTCATGAAGGGAGTAAAATCTGAACCCCTTCTCAAGGGTTGAGCAGGAGTTTGCCATATGTATCCACCAAGGATGACTTTCCCAGTAGAAAGAACTGAGCCGCCATCAGCTCACTAAATCCCACTGGGTTGGCATTTAAATGTTGTCTTTTGAAACCAATCTTGTAAATCTTAAATGCAAAAGTATTTCCTTCCAAAGAATAAAATATACATTTTGAGAAGAGATTAAGAGAGTTGAGGATGGTAGAAATTACTGTCTTTGGGATACATTAATAAGACATTTTATGAAAGCATAAAAGAGTTGAGAAAGAATCACATTTTCCACATTGATAGTTAAGTAATGTGGACAAATAAAGGACGTGTTTAGATAGCAGCCTATAAATTCAATATTTTTACAATGTACATGAGTTTTTACAGTTTTCTTCAATGGTTAATTCTTGTTTGTTTTACTGAAAAGCCCTTAATAATCTTAATTTTTTGAGTGCACAATTCAAGAATTCTGTTCAATTGTAGGGACATTTAAAAGCTTACTGATCTATCATTGTTTCAATCAATTATTAGAAGTGGAGCAGTAAGAGTTTGTCTTTTGAAATGGTAATTACTTGATTCTATACCACAATTCACAGTAAATGTATTAAGAAATAGTTTTTATTACATGTCCTTCAACTATAAAATTCTTAAAATACTATAATTTCTTTAAGATGTAGGTTATACCATGTATTTTTAAGGATACCTTTTAAAAATGATGTATTGAAACAACATAGTTGGATTTGCACTAAATGATCTCTAAATTAGAATGATACAGCAGTCTTGAAAGAAAAAAAACAATCAAACTGCAATTTTCTGATCTTCATTAATCCATTCAATGCTCTTATGAAATAGAAGCAATTCTTATTATTCAAAATAGTTACATCTATAAAGTCACCATGAACACTGAATTAACAAATACTAAATCATTGCTCCTGAGGGAAAAATAAGAATAG
The DNA here is from genome assembly GCF_000001405.40 of Homo sapiens. Lineage (NCBI taxonomy): Eukaryota > Metazoa > Chordata > Mammalia > Primates > Hominidae > Homo > Homo sapiens. The sequence continues at coordinate 81,007,229 of NC_000004.12, forward strand.
GTTCCTGGGAGCCTCTGGCCACAATAATTTTATCAACCAATCAATGTAAAACCTTGCTTTATGTGTGTTTTTGTTTAAAGACACCTTATATAATCTATATTATTGATTCATTTACATTGAACTAATGGCCCACATTACTGTAATGGCTGATTGAAGCTTATATGACATATGTACTTTCTCCATATGGCACACCACAGCCTTCTTGTGCTTAAGAACACTAGACAGTACTTCAGCCCATGCTTGGGGACCATCGTAAACAGTGAAATTACCAACAAAAGTACACAAAATGTGAAAAACATGTCACTCAGTAGACTGTGGAAAGGACAGTTCTTTTTAGTATGAGAACTGAAATAAGAAGCCAGAGTTGCCTTGTTTATCCTCAGCTGGGAATGTGCAGATTAGGTGACTCACATTTTTTCACTCCATGCATGTTCAAGAATGACTGCAAAAGTGCCCCAGTATTGATTTGGAGGATACCAATAAATTTTAGCTAGTAGGTTGAATTTGCAAACACGGAGTCTTCAAAGAATGAAAATTTTGACTACAGTTATTATTACTAATATTTAGTAAGGAAACAGAGACTCAGAAAGCATACATAATTCACACAAAGATATCCAGCTAGGAAATGGCTAGTTGAATAATTATTCAAACCTAGCCTCATGTAAGGACATTAGCCTTAACTCATTTTTCCAAATAGTGTGACAGAAGGATTAGGAACACAGGTTCTGGAACCTGAGTGTCTGAGTTCCAGTGTTAATGGTACCATTTATTAGCTGTTTGACCTTGAAATATAAGTTAACTCCTCTGATATGATTTGGCTGTGTCCCCACCCAAATTTCATCTTGAATTGTAGTTCCCATAATCCCCACATGTCATGGGAAGGACCAGATGGAGATAATTGAATCATAGGGGTGGTTTCCCCCATCCTGTTCTCCTGATAGTGAGTTAGTTTTCATGAGATCTGATGGTTTTATAAAGGACTTCTCCCATAGCTGGGCACTCATTTCTCTCTCCTGCTACCATGTGAAGAAGGACATGTTTGCTTCCCTTTCTTCCATGATTGTAAGTTTCCTGAGGCCTCCCCAGCTATGTGGAACTGTGAGTCAATTAAACTTCTTTTCTTTATGAATTATCCAGTCTCAGGCAGTTCTTTATAGTAGAGTGAGACCAGACTAATAAAGTAAATTGGTACCAGGTATTGGGGCACTGCTGTAAAGATACACAAAAATGTGGACGTGACTTTGGAACTGGGTAACAGTAAGAGATTGGAATCATTTGGAGGGCTCAGAAGAAGGCAGGAAAATGTGGGAAAGTTGAAACTTCCTTGACTTGGAGGGCTCAGAAGACAGGAAGATATGGGAAAGTTTGGAACTTCCTGGAAACCTGTTGAAAGGCTTTGACCAAATTGCTGATACTGATATGAACAATAAAGTCTGGGTTGAGGTCATCTCAGATGGAGATGAGAAACTTATTGGGAACTGGAGTGAAGGTCATTCTTGCTATGCAAAGAGACTGGTGGCATTTTGCCCCTGCCTTAGAGATCTGTGGAACTTTGAACTTGAGAGAGATAATTTAGAGTATCTGGTGGAAGAAATTTCTAAGCAGCAAAGCGTTCAAAAGGAAGCAGAGCAAAAATGTTTGGAAAATTTGCAGCTTGGTGATGTGATAGAAAAAAAAAACATTTTTCTGGGGAGAAATTCAAGCCCCCTGCAGAAATTTGCATAAGTAACAAGGGCAAGACAATGGGAAAATGTCTCCAGGGCATGTCAGAGACCTTGATGGCAGCCCCTCTCATCACAGGCCCAGAGGCCTAAGAGAGATAAAATGGTATTCTGGGGCAGGACCAGGGCCCCCCCTGCTGTGTGGACCTTGGGGACTTGGTACCCTGCATCCCAGCTGCTCCATCCATGGCTAAAATTGGCCAAGGTACAGCTCAGGTTGTTGTTTCAGAGAGTGCAAGCCCCAAGCCTTGGCAGCTTCCACATGGTGTTGGATCAGCAGCTGTACAGAAGGCAAGAACTGAGGTTTGGGAATTTCTGCTTAGGTTTCAGAGGATGTATGGAAATGCCTGCATGTCCAGGCAGAATTCTGCTGCAGGGGCAGAGCCCTCAAGGAGAACCTTTGCTAGGGCAGTGCAGAGGGAAATATGGGGAGGGAGCCCCCACACAGAGTTCCCACTGGGGCACTGCCTAGTGTAGCTGTGAGATGAGGACCACCATCCTCCAGACACCAGAATGGTAGATACACCTACAACTTGCACTGTGCATCTGGAAAAGACACAGACACTTAATGCCAGTCATGAAAGCAGCCAGGAGTGGGGCTGTACCCTGCAAAGCTAGAGGGCGGAACTGCCCAAGGTCATGGGATCCCACCTCTTGTATCAGTGTGACCTGGATATGAGACATGGAGTCAAAAGAGATAATTTGGGAACCTTATGGGTTAATGACTGTGCTTTTGGATTTCAGCCTTGCATGGGGCCTGTAGCCCCTTTGATTTGGCCAATTTCTCCCATTTGGAATGGGTGTATTTACCTAATACCTGTACCTCCATTGTATCTAGGAAGTAACTAACTTGCTTTTGATTTTACAGGCTAATAGGCAGAAGAAACTTGCCTTGTCTCACATGAGACTTTGGACTTGGACTTTTGGGTTAATGCTGGAATGAGTTCAGACTTTGGGGAACTGTTGGAAGGGCATGATTGTGTTTTGAATTCTGAGGACATGAGATTTAGGGAGGGTTCAGGGGTGGAATGATGTGATTTGACTGTTTCCCCACCAAAATCTCATCTTAAATTGTAATTCCCATAATCCCCATGTGTTAGGGGAGGGACTAAATGGAGATAACTCAACCATGAGGCAATTTCCCTTGTCCTGTTCTCATGATAGTGAGTTAGTTCTCACAAGATCTGATGGTTTTATAAGGGGTTTCCCTCTTCGCTGGGCACTCATTTCTCTCTTCTGCTGCTGTGTGAAAAAGAACATGTTTGCTTCCTTTTCTGCCATGATTGTAAGTTTCCTGAGGCCTCCCCAGCCCTATGGAACTGTGAGTCAATTAAACCTATTTCCTTTATCAATTACCCAGTCTCAGGCAGTCCTTTTTAGCAGTGTGAGAATGAACTAATATACCCTCCAAGCCTATTTATGTTAACAGGTTAAATGGAGACAGTAACAATCACTACATAATTGGAAGATTATGAGGATTAAATAAATGATGCCTATAAAGTGACTACCACAGTGCTTAGCATACAAAAGTGCCCAGTGGATGTTAACTACCTAAACTGTCTATTATTCTGTCTGTAGCCACTATATGTTGAATACCAACTGAATCAAACACTGAGCCAGGAAAGTGATATTTTACATACTCTTTCCCAACAACCTATGACAAGGGTAAAAACATTTTATAGAGAAGAAGGGGAATCAGGGAGTTGTTAATCAAAGATTACATAGTTTCACTTATGCAAGATGAATAAATCCAAGCAATTTGGATTTATTCATTGGAATAAATCCAAGCAATGTACTGTATAGCACAGTGCATACAATTAACAATATGGTATTGTTTACTTAAATATTGTTAAGAAGGCTTTAGGACATTGGTCTAAGCAAAGATTTTATGTCTAAGACTTCAAAACTGCAGGCAACCAAAACAAAAATAGACAAATTGAACTATACTAAACTTACAAGCATCTGCACAGCAAAGGTAACAATCCACAGAGTAAAGAGACAATCTGTAGAATGGGAGGAAATGTTTGCAAACTATTCATCCAACCAGGGATTTATGTCCAAAATAAACAAGGAACTTAACAGCAAAAAAAAAGAAAAAAAAGTCAGATTAAAAAGTAGGCCAAGACTCTGAATAGATATTTATCTAAAGAAGACATATAAACGGCCAAGAAGTATATGAAGAAAAGCCCAACATCGCTAATCATCAGGGTAATATAAATCAAAACCACAACAAGAGATAATCCCATTCCAGTTAGAATGACTGTGATATGGTTTGGATATGTTTCCCCACTCAAATCTCATCTTGAATTGTACTCCCATAATTCCCACAGGTTGTGAGAGGGACCTGGTGGGAGATAATTCAATCCTGGGGGTGGTTTCCCCCATATTGTTCTTATGATAGTGAGTAAGTCTCACGAGATGTGATGGTTTTATCAGGGGTTTCTGCTTTTGCATCTTCCTCATTCTCTCTTTGCCTGATGCCATCCATGTAAGACATGACTTGTCCCTCCTTGCCTTCCACCATGATTGTGAAGCCTCCCCAGCCACGTGGAACTGTAAGTCCAGTGAAACCTCTTTCTTTTATAAATTGCCCAGTCTTGGGTATGTCTTTATCAGCAGCATGAAAACAGAATAATAGAGTAAATTGGTACCAGTAGAGTGGAGCGTTGCTGAAGAGACACCCAAAAGTGTGGACGCGACTTTGGAACTCAGTAACAGGCAGAGGTTGAAACAGTTTGGAAGGCTCAGTAGAAGACAGGAAAATGTGGGAAAGTTTGGAACTTTCTAGAGACTTATTGAATGGCTTTGTTCAAAGTATTGATAGCAATATGAACAGTAAGGCCCAGGTTGAGGTGTTCTCAGATGGACATGAGGAACTTGTTAGGACCTGGAACAAAGATGACTCTTGTTATGTTTTAGCAAAGAGACTGGCAGCATTTTGCCCTACCCTAGAGATTTGTGGAACTTTGAACTTGAGAGAGATGATTTAGGGTATCTGGTGGAAGAAATGTCTAAGCAGCAAAGCATTCAAAAGGTGACTTGGAGGCTGTTAAAAGCATTCAGTTTTATAAGGGAAACTGAGCATAAAAGCTTGAAAAATGTGCAGCCTGATGATGTGATAGAAAATAAAATCGAATTTTCTAAGGAGAAATTCAAGCTGGCTGTAGAAATTTGCAAAAGTAACCAGGAGCCAAATGTTAATCCCTAAGACAATGGGGAAAGTGTCTCCAGTGGATGTCAGAGGTCTTCCTGGCAGCCTCTCCCATCACAGGCCTGGAGACCAAGGAGGAAAAAGTGGTTTTGTGGACGGGGCCCAGCGACCCAAGCTATGTGCAACCTAGGGACTTGGTGCCCTGCATCCTAGCTGCTCCAGCTGTGGCTGAAAGGGGCCAACATAGACATCAGGCCATGGCTTCAGAGGGCGCAAGCCACGCGCCTTGGCAGTTTCCATGTGGTGTTGAGCCTGTGGGGGCACAGAAGTCAAGAATTGAGGTTTGGGACCCTCTGCCTAGATTTCCAAAGATGTATGGAAATGCCTGGATGCCCAGGCAGAAGTTTGCTGCAAGGGCAGGACTCTCATGGTGAACCTCTGCTAGGGCAAGGCAAAAGGGAAATGTGGGGTTGGAGCCCCACACAGAGTCCCTACTGGAGCACTGCCTAGTGGAGCTGTGAGAAGAGGGCCACCGTCCTCCAGACCCCAGAATGGTAGATCCACCTACAGATTGCACCATGCACCTGGAAGAGCCACAGACACTCAATGCCAGACTGTGAAAGCAGCCAGGAAGGAGGCTGTACCCTGTAAAGCCACAGGTGCAGAGCTGCCCAATACCATGGGAACCTACTTCTTGCATCAGCATGAACTGGATGTGAGACATGGAATAAAAGGAGATCATTTTGGAGATTTAAGATTTGACTGCTGAGCTGGATTTCAGACTTGCATGGCCCCTGTACCCCTTTGTTTTGGCCAATTTCTCCCATTTGGAATGGTTGTATTTACCCAATGCCTGTACCCCATTGTATCTAGGACATAAATAGCTTGCTTTTGATTTTACAGGCTCATAGGCAGAAGGGACTTGCCTTGTCTCAGATGAGACTTTGGACTGTGGACTTTTGAGTTAATGCTGAAATGAGCTAAGACTTTAGGTGACCGTTGGGAAGACATGGTTAGTTTTGAAATGTGAGGACATGAGATTTGGCAGGGGCCAAGGGCTGAATCATATGGTTTGGCCATGTGTACCCACCCAAATCTTATCTTGAATTACACTCTCATAATTACCAAGTTTGTGAGAGGGACCTGGTGGGAGATAATTGAATCATGGGGGCGGTTCCCCCAAACTGTGTTTGTGGTAGTGAACAAGTCTAATGATATCTGATGATTTTATCAGGGGTTTCTGCTTTGCATCTTCCTCATTCTCTCTTTGCCTGCTGCCATCCATGTAAAATGAGACTTGCTCCTCCTTGCCTTCTGCCATGATTGTGTGGCTTCCTCAGCCATGTGGAACTGTAAGTCCAATTAAACCTCTTTCTTTTGTAAATTGCCCAATCCTGAGTATCTCTTTATCAGCAGCATGAAAATTAACTAATACAGGCTGCTATCAGAAAGACAAAAAATAAATTCAGGTGAGGACACAGAGAAAAGAGAACTCTTATATATTGTTGGTGAGAATTTAAATTAATTAGTATAGACATGGAAAAGCATGGAGTTTTCTCAAAAATCTAAAAAGTAGAACTACCATACAATCCAGCAATCCTACTCCTGGATGCTTATCCAAAGGGAAAAAAAGTCAGTTTATTGAAGAGACACGTATGCTCCCACATTTATATCAGCACTGTTCACACACAATAGCTAAAATATGGAATCTACCTAAATGTTCATCAATGAACTAATGGATAAAGAAAATGTAGTGTATATACACAACAAAATTGTACTCCACCAGGAATCCTCTATAATGTGAATAGACATTGTCTAATCAGCTAAAGATCTTAAAAGCAAAGACTGAGGCTTCCTGAGGAAGAAGAAATTCTGTCTGAAGACAGCAACATATAAATGTTTACTGTTTCCATCCTGCAAACCTGCCCTACAGATCTCAGATGTGCCAGTTCCCATAGCCGCATGAGCCACGTTATTAAAATAAATCTCTTTAGATAGGTAGGTAGATTAGATAGATGACTGGTAGATGATAGATAGATGATAGATGATAGATAGATAGATAGATAGATAGATAGATAGATAGATAGATACATAGATAGATAGATCAATCTAAAGAGAAATAGATATCTCTATCTGTGTGTTTGTGTATGTGGCCTATTGGTTCTGTTTCTCTGGAAAACCTTGACAAATACAGTGACCAACTATCCTGGTTTGCCCAGGAAAGAGGGGTTGTGTGGGACAGGAACATTTCAGTGATAAGATCAGGATAGTCATGATCAAACCAGGACAAGTTGCTCACACTAAGTGGTTATTTTCTGCAGCAAATTGCCTGGTGTAAAGGAACATTATGTACATAGGTTTTCAGGATCGTTCCAATTATTTCTGGAACAAGTGATCCAACCAATCACAAGTCAAATGATATTAACTTAGCACTACACTAGGTTTTGCGTGTGTATGTGTACCAATGATGTGAAAGCAAGGTAGTTCCAGAAGCTTCACAACACCGCAAAATGGAAAAACTGTCCCTATTAAACAATTACTCTCTCCCACTCCAAGATTTGCCTATTCTGCATATTTGATATAAGTTAAATTTTTAAAATGTGGCCTTTGTGATCAAGGAAAAACTGAACACAAATGTTCATAGCAGCTTTATTTGTAATAGCCAAAACATGGAAACATGCCAAATGTCCATCAACATTTGAGTATTGATGAAGAGATAAATAAAACTTGGTATATCCATACAAGGAATCATATTTGACAATGAAAGGAATAAGTGCTGATACATGCTACAACATGAATGAACCTTGAAAACATCATAATAAATGTACAAGATTTTACAAAGGAGTACACAGAAAAAATTTTTTTAAAAAAACTTAATGTTCCTTCTGGACCACATGGCAAATTTTGCCAAAGTTCTTTCCTAACTATGTAGTTTCCCTATATTAGCGTTACTCTCCATGTACTGATCTTTTTAGAAACCACCTAAGAACTCTATTTCATTTCCAAAGGAAGCTTAGAAATGTAGGAGAATGGCTTTATTAATTTTATCTTCCAAATATCCAAATAATATTATATACAAGTATGCACACTTGTTGTGGAGTGTTAATTAGGACAAAGAAGTCAGGTTGGCGGGACAAAGGCAAAGCAAAAGAGAAAGCAGATAAGCTACAATTCTGCCTTCCTTTATGTATGGTTCAGGACACATAGCCCAGCTGTGCAAATAATTCACAATCTTCCTGCACCCAGATATCAATAGACCCCAGGCTGACAGAAAAATGCAAGTTAGCTCACTGCAACCTTGGCATTATTAGTGCTGCACAAAGCCCTCTTCAGCACACAGCACAAGCACCATTCTATAAAATCCCCAGAAAGGCTTCGTTTCCTGACAGCTCCTTTCTTGCTGATGTGCCCATTGCACCCTTGCAACATATTTTCACACTTTCTCTAATAAATCTGCCTGTCTTTACCTACAACTGAGTCTCGGCAATTTGCAAAAGAAAGAGAGGTTTAATGGACACAGTTCCATGTGGCTGGTGAGGCCTCACAATTAAGGTGGAAGGCAAGGAGTAGTAAGTCACATCTTACACAGATGGAAGCAGGCAAAGAGAGAGCTTCTGCAGGGAAACTCCCTCATATAAAACCATCAGATCTTGTGAGACTTATTCACTATCATGAGAACAGCAGGGGAAAGACCTGCCGCCATGATTCAATTAACTCCCACCAGGTCCATCCCACAACACATGGGAATTCAAGATGAGATTTGGGTGGGGACAGAGCCAAACCATATGATTCCACTCCTGGCCCCTCCCAAGTCTCATGTCCTCACATTTCAAACCCAACCATGCCTTCCTAACAGTCCCCCAAAGTCTTAACTTATTTCAGCATTAACTCAAAAGTCCAAGTCCAATGTCTCATCTGAGACAAGGCGTCTCTTTTGCCTATGAGCCTGTAAAATCAAAAGTAAGTTAGTTACTTCCTAGATACAACAGTGGTACAGGCACTGGGTAAATACACCCATTCCAAATGGGAGAAATTGGCCAAAACAAAGGGGCTACTAGCCCCACTCTAGTTCAAAATCCAGTGGAGCAGTCAAATCTTAAAGCTCCAAAATGATCTCCTTTTATTCCATGTCTCATATCCAGTTCATGCTGATGCAAGAGGTAGGTTCCCATGGTCTTGGGCAGCTCTGCCCCTGTGGCTTTGCAGGGTACAGCCTCCCTCCTGGCTGCTTTCACAGTCTGGCATTGAGTGTCTGTGGCTGTTCCAGGTGCATGGTGCAAGCTGTAGATCTACCATTCTGGGGTCTAGAAGATGGTGGCCCTCTTCTCACAGCTCCACTAGGCAGTGCCCAGTAGGAACTTTGTGTGGGGTCTCTGATCCCACATTTCTCTTGTGCAATGCCCTAGCATAGGTTCTCCATGAAAGCCCTGCCCCTGCAGCAAACTTCTGCCTGGACATCCAAGCATTTCCATACATCTTCTGAAATCTAGGCAGAGGGTCCCAAACCTCAATTCTTGACTTCTGTGCCCCCACAGGCTCAACACCACATGGAAGCTGCCAAGGTGTGGGGCTTGCACCCTCTGAAGCCACAGCCTGAGCTGTACCTTGGCCCACTTTAGTCACAAAGGGAGCAGCTGAGACACAGACCACCAAGTCCCTAGACTGCACTCAGCACGGGGACCCTTGGCCCGGCCCACAAAACTACTTTTTTCTTCTTGACCTCTCAGCCTGTAATGGGAGGAGCTGCCACAAAGACCTTTGACATATCCTGGAGACATTTTCCCCATTGTCTTGGGGATTAACTTTCAGCTCCTTGTTACTTATGCAAATTTCTACAGCCAGCTTGAATTTCTCCTTAGAAAATGGAATTTTCTTTTCTATCACATTGTCAGGCTGCAAATTTTTCAAACTTTTATGCTCTGCTTCCCTTATAAAACTGAATGCCTTTAATAGCCCCCAAGTCACCTCTTGAATGCTTTGCTGCTTAGAATGTTTCCACCAGATACCCTAAATCATCTCTCTCAAGTTCAAAGTTTCACAAATCTCTAGCACAGGGGCAAAATGCCACCACTCTCTTTGCTAAAACATAACAAGAGTTACCTCTACTCCAGTTCCCAACAAGTTCTTCATCTCTATCTGAGACCACCTCAGCCTGGACTTTGTCGTCCATATCACTTTCAGCATTTTGGTCAAAGCCATTCAACAAGTCTCTAGGAAATTCAAAACTTTCCCACATTTTCCTGTATTCTTCTGAACCCTCCAAACTGTTTCAACCTCTTCCTGTTACCCAGTTCCAAAGTCGCTTCCACATTTTTGGGTATCTTTTCAGCAGCACCCCACTCTACTGGTACCAATTTGCTGTATTAGTCTGTTTTCATGCTGCTAATAAAGACACACCTGAGACTGGGAAGAAAAAGATGTTTAATGGACTTACAGTTCCACATGGCTGGGGAGGACTCATAGTCATGGCAGAAGGCAAAGGGGAGAAAGTCATGTCTTACATGGATGACGGCAGGCAAAGAGAGAGAGTTTTTGCAGGGGAACTCTTCTTTTTCACATCATCAGATCTCATGAGACTTATTCACTGTTGTGAAAACAGCACGCAAAAACCCGCCCCCATGATTAAAATACCCCTCACTGGGTCCCTCCCACAACACGTAGGAACTGTGGGAGTTACAATTCTTGATGAGATTTGAGTAGGGACACAGCCAAACGACATTACCACCCATGCCAGTGGCCCATATAGTCTCTGATCACCTACAACACTTGTGGTGTGTGTTTGGGGGCTGGGGCGGGGGTGTGGCAGAGAAGGAGAAAGAGAGAGAGAGAGAGATACATAAAGAAACTAAGTCTTAGGGAAAATCGGTAAATTACCCAAAATCATAATTTAGATACGGGCAAAGCTAGGGCTCTGATCTGATACCTAAGCCCATTCTGTTATGTGTATGACATGTACAAAACCATTAACACTCATTTCATTAAGCAGCAAATCAGAGGAGGGAAATTCAAATTTAAGTATGAAGTCTAATAGAAGGATGAGTACAATCAAGTGGGCTCAGTCAAGGAGATCATAATTTCATGTCAAGCATGTAGTGTATTTCCAGTAATGTGGCACATTGAATTAAAAGCTTGCCTGAAGGAATTGAGTTTTGGGCAAAACTTTATAGAATCAAGGAACACATTAGGAGAGAGAATGAGGGAAAGGGATTCAGAGTTTAAATCATTTATTCATGCATTCAACAACTATTTCTTGAACAGCTACCATGTACCAGATGCTTCTCATAGTACTGAGGCAGAAACTGTCCTCAGAGTCATGGAGTTTACCCTACAGAGTAGGTAGGTTACTAGCAGCAAATAAAATAGATGTATTGAATTTATGGGAAAAAAATGAAAATGGAAGTAAATTTGATGGAGGGGATTCACAGAAACCCTTGAATTCTAGACTGGGAAGTTCAAATGTTAAATGCATTAGGCCCTGGAGTGTCAACATAGATTCCTGAACAAGTATGAAGTGAAAGGCCATCCTTGGCTCTTCTAGTCCTATCTCTATATGTGGAAAGAGACAAGGGATACAAACAAGTACCATCCCTTAACCAGAATGAATATGAGTATGTCCTGCCAATGAAGAGTAGGATAACAGTGATATCTGTGGAAGTGGAAAAGAAGGCCTTCCCACCTTTTCACAGGATTTTTTAAAAATCCCTACCCAGACTGACTTTGAGCCAGGCTTAGCTATGCATTCAGATATTACTCTCAGATAAAACATGCTATAAAACACCTGTGTTAGGTAATAAAAGGCAACAACATTTCCTTTGTATCAAGACTTAATCTATATTTTTCAATATCTCATAGGACTTCTATCATGGCCAGGTAAGTAGATGCAGATAGGTCCACCTCTCTGCACAACTGGAGATAACTACTTCCACAAAATAACGCCAGTATGATGCTACTTAGATTCCATTTACAATCCTGCAATAAAACCAATAATAACACTTTGTACTTATGAACTGCCTCACACTGAAAATCTCAAATGTTTTATAGACCATAAATTCTCCCAACACCCTTCATGAGAAAAAGAATTACTCTCTCCATTTAACAGGTAAACTAGAAACTAGCATAGAGGAAGAACTTGCCCAAGGCCACTGAGGTAAGACAGAGTCCACTTGTTCTGGAGGCTCTAGCAGGGCTGCTTCTCAGCAAAGTGGTGAGGAAGGCAGTACTTTATATTGCATGCTGTTTCTGCTTCCCTTTTTTTTGTTCTCTACCAAATTTTGGCAATTGTCCTAAGTTTCTCTTAAGGTATTAACTGATACCACTTGATAATGCTCAAGGTGTTAGCCTTCCCAGGGATATCTACATTTTATTAGGGGACTCTTTTTTTTTTTTTTATTATACTTTAAGTTTTAAGGTACATGTGCACATTGTGCAGGTTAGTTACATATGTATACATGTGCCATGCTGGTGCGCTGCACCCACCAACGTGTCATCTATCATTAGGTATATCTCCCACTGCTATCCCTCCCCCCTCCCCCGACCCCACCACAGTCCCCAGAGTGTGATATTCCCCTTCCTGTGTCCTTGTGATCTCATTGTTCAATTCCCACCTATGAGTGAGAATATGCGGTGTTTGGTTTTTTGTTCTTGCGATAGTTTACTGAGAATGATGGTTTCCAATTTCATCCATGTCCCTACAAAGGACATGAACTCATCATTTCTTATGGCTGCATAGTATTCCATGGTGTATATGTGCCACATTTTCTGGTTGAATGTCAAGAACCAAAGAAAGGACCTGTTGAATTGCTGATGGAAAGACTGCTCCCTTCTCATAACTCACAAAGGGTCCTGCCCTGGGGGCCATTAATTCCTGTACCCTGCCACCATAGAGACCATCCCCAGAAAGAAACTTCCTCTCCTACTACATCAGTCAGTACCCTGAGGTTTTGCTTTGTTTCAAGGGCTAAAGTGGAAACAAAAGGAATTACCTTTATGCCCAGAACTACCTGACATCAGGATGGGTCTGGTTCTGTCTGAGCCATCTCTATATTAGGAGGGGGCGGGATCCCTAAACACATTTTGTAGTTCCATTCTTTGTGCCTAAATATTGTTGTTAGTAAGTGAATTGTTTCCTGGCATTTCCTGGGACTACAAACACTGCCACCAGGTGGGATTTCTTTCACCTAACAGGAGAGACATTTACCATGGCATTTCCAAGGAGATCAACATTTGAAATCTCTTCCTACCTGAGGGCTGGAGGGAAATGGAACAATCTGAAACCACCTGGAAAAGGCCTGGTTGCCCACTGCCCTTTCTTGGGACTTGTATCTGACTTCCTGAATTAATTTTAAGTAGCTAGTCTACTACTTATGATTCAAGAGAAAAGTGGGAACTAGGAACTCAGGGACGGAGGTTTGCTGTAGGATTACTTGCATGTCTATTATGGCATCCATCACTTAAATGATCTGGAGAAAGTGGTCACACATTATGAGCAAGTGCTGAATGTAGAGAGAAAAAAATTGTAGATGTTGTTCTTTTTTCTTTTTTAACCAATCATCACTGAAAGAAAAATAGTGCTGCCTTTCTTCTAAAAAGAAAGCAAATTTCTGCTAGCAACATGTAGTTCCTCTGTATAGCTCCTGTTGAGGCTATTGAGGTCTAGAATATGGCCAGCTTAAAAATTAAAAAAAAAAAAGGAAGCCTCTTTTCATTTTTCTGCCATCTTAGATGACAGAATTAGGATATCACTAATTGTTCTTCAATATTCTTCTTTCAACTACTTTCCTAAAGGGTATTTACTGAATACCTAGTGTAGGCAAAAAGCTCTCCAAGTGCTATGCATGAATCTTGTCCTTAGAACACTGCATTCTAGCTGGGTATGGTGGTGAGCACTGGTAGTCTCAGCTACTTGGGAGGCTGAAGTGGGAGGAACCCCAGAAGTTAGAGGCTGCAGGAGGCTATGATGGAGCGACGGCACTCCAGCCTGGGTGACAGAGAGCCCATCTCTAAAAATTTTAAAAAGCTACATTCTAAATAGAGATACAAACGTACTCAAATGCCCATTTAATATTGTTATTTAACTTCTCATATGTTTATATATCAAATCATAATAAGGAATGAAATCTGAAAGTCACTGATCTGGAGAGGATTAACATTTTGGTTTTGGTTGTGTGTCATATTACCAGGAAATTTGCTCTAGAATGTTTTAAAGCAAGAACAACTGTCACAAGACAGCAAGAGATTCCTTGGGGGTATTCCTTGTCAGTGCCTAGGACTCCAAAAATACATCATGAACTAGCTACAAAGATAATCACAAATCTCTATTTGATTATTTGCATTTCCTTGAAAACATGTAATTCATTAAAATGTATTGCATACTTAGTATAGATGTGGTATTACAAAAATAGAAAAGCAGCAGCCCTTGGTCTTGCTTAGGATCTGTCAGCTTCCATTCTATTTTCATTCCTGTCCAGTCAAATCCTTCTCAGTTCGCCCAGCACTACCCAGACACTCCTGCTCTGTTTACAGCTCAGCAATAGTTACCAGGATTGACAACATAGATACTTGAAATATTTATATAGCATTTATGCAATCACTTTTCATTGCCCAGTAAAAGAACTGGTTTGCAGAGCTTGGCTCATAGCCAGAGTCATCTCGATCTTAATTTTATAAGGCAAGAATTTACTCCAGAGTTCAAAAATTGAAAAACAGGGTGGAGGAGTTGTTGGTAGGTGATCATTTGTGGTCAAAGAAAGCTGTTTGCTTTTTCGTGGGCAGATATCCAGGGGCAGTTTTAAACTACTTCCTTCAAGGAAGAAACGCCAGAAAAACACCTGGAAACCCCGAAGCACATGTAAAGAGTAAAATTAGTCCCCAGTGGTGATATTTATCATTTCTACACCCCCATCTGTCCATATTTTTACAGCATTCATCACCATACCTAAGCAACTTTAATTGATCCTGTTAAGGTTTTACATGGGTCATCTGAGCAGCTACACCTGGAAATTTGTAGGGTGAAAAGGCAGATGCCAGCAACCATGCTAATGAATGAATCTCTGAGTTGCTGAGGTGACAAATGAGATCACCTCCTTTAAGTGCCTTTCAGCTCCAGATACTGGAAGGTCAGTAACCTCTTCAATCCACAGTCCCATTGCCAAGATCTCCTGGACTGCGTTTAAGGGTAGGATTGGTGGGAAAGAAGAGGGATGAGAGGAGGAAGAATTAAGAAAGTGGAAGATGATAAAGAGAGGAGTGAACCCTAGAGCCAGACAGGGGAGAAGGAAAGAGGTTGCTGCGTGTATTTCAGCATTGGCAGCTAATCTTTACCTATGGGGGCTTGGAGACATGACCACCTGGGAGAAAATGACTATAGAAAAATGAATGGAAATATTCAATGCATTGTGAAGGGCACAAGTGCCAGGGCAAGCAATAAATTTGTTACATTCTTAGAAACTCAATTCACAAAACAATCACCAAAGGAATTAAGTAAAAAAAGAGAGAGAAGTTTTAAGAAGAAAACAATTTTTAAAGTAACAACTTTTCCCAAAAGACAAAAATCAGACTGGTAAACCACTGTATACAGAAATGGCTGATAAGACCAAGAGAAAGAAAACTGCTGGTAAAAAGAAGGGCTTTCTGAAGCCATAAGAATTTAAACACAAATTACAGAGGAAGGATGCCAGCTGAACTGCCTGCAGAAAGAAACAGATTAGGACAGTGGGTAGCATTCCACAGAGCAGAGCCTGTAGGCTGCACGTGGGAAACAGTACAAAGGGCACCTGAACAGACTCTCCAAATATCAAATCACAAGAAATAAATCAACAGCCTGTGCAAGGAAAACCTTCAAGGTGGGCTTGCAAAATTTGTCATGCTGTGACTCAAAATAGTCTACCTCTTTTTTTTTTTTTTTGGTGTGGGGAGGCATAGTGATAAATTCTCATAGCATCATTATCAGTAGAAATTTTGAGTAAAAGTGGAATTGAAGAATACAAAGGAAAATATGACTATGTTAATTACTTATAAAACCGTAGTGTGGGCCAGACATGGTGGCTCATGCCTGTAATCCCAGCACTTTGGGAGGCCGAGACGGGTGGATCACATGAGGTCAGGAGTTTGAGACCAGCCTGACCAATGTAGTGAAACACTGTCTCTACTAAAAATACAAAAATATTAGCTGGGTGTGGTGGTGCATGCATTTAATTCCAGCTACTCAGGAGGCTGAGGCAGGAGAATTGCTTGAACCCAAGAGGCAGAGGTTGCAGTGAGCTGAGATCATGCCATTGCACTCCTGCCTGGGCAACAAGAGGAAAACTCTATCTCTAAAAAAATAAAAAAATAAAAAAATCTTAGTGTGCCTGTTGTTCTGATATATTAATATGAACGAGGATATAAAGCAGCATAAAAAGGGATTCCTGCTCCCATAATACAATTTCTTTATTTTTAATTAAATAGAAAAAATCAAAATGCTTTATATGATTATAAAGATATAATCACACAGAAATATTCTATGCTCTTGGCATAGAAAACAGGCCACTGGGAAGATATATCTCAAAATGCTAATTTTGGCTTTGTTTGGGTCCTGTGACTATGGGTGATGCAAAAATACATAAAACACAGTTTCTGCCCTTAAGGAGCTGACTAATTCTTATTCTTTATTATATTTGTTTAGTCATCTTTACTTTTCATATCACTAAAATTTTAAGGAATGTCTTAGTTTAGGGCAGTTGAAATGAAGTTCAAAAAGGAAGAAATAAGTAAAGGCTAAAATCAAATTACTTTGGGCTTTAGGAATATGATTATATATTTTTTATTCTGTATATTATATAGGAAAACAAATGTGTTTGGCAGGAGATATTTGATATGACACCTCTTTCGCTTGTCACTATTCAATCTGATTCAGCTCAGCAAATATCTACTAAGCAGGTAATGGTATATAAGGAAATCAGGGGAAAGCAGGAGGAGTAAAAGTTGAATAACATTCCTACCTTTGAGGTCCCTGCATCTAAAAAGAAGTAAATTAATGTAATTCTACTTCCACTTCCTCCCAACCCCAGTTGTATCCCTTCGATTCTTGTCTGATGTTCCTACTTAGGACAGAGAACAGGACCAAACCTTTGGGTAAAGCCCCCTGAATGACTGATTATTCTCAATGTAAATCACTAAGAAAATGGGAGATCGTTAGTCACTGGATAGTCCCCAGCAGGCAGCCCTCCTTTCCAAGTGCTATTCCTGTTGTCGGTGACATGTTTCCTCCAGACTTTATTATGGTTGTTTTTCATATCATATAGGTCTCAGTTCAAATGCCATGTCCTCAGAGAAGCCCTTCCTGACCACCTCACCACCCTAGAATACCACCACTCCACCCATTCTCAGCCAGAGAATCAGCCCACTTACCACACCCACATACACACCATTCTTGATCTACTACTTTGTTCTACTGTTTTCATGGTATTCTAGAAAATACTTTTTTTTTTTTGGTTTGAGATTATTGTCTATTTCTTTTGGAATATAAACCCCATGAGGGTAGGGATTTCACAAGTCTTTTGTATGGCTATATCCTCAGCTTCTAGAACAGTGTGTGGTTCATAATGTACATTTGATGAATAGGTATGAACAAATGAGAGAGGGAACATCTGTTCCTGCCTCTCTTGATCTTACTGTCTTGACTCTAGACTTTAAAAAAAGAGACAAACTTTCACTTCGTTCCCAATTGCATCTCCAGCACCTAGAAGAACGTCTGGTTCATAGTGGATATTCAGTAAAAAATTGTTAGCAAAAATGATAGTGGGACAGGAGCCAGGAAGAAAAAGACCCAAATAGCAGGAAATCAAGAGCAAAAATTTTTGCCAGATATATTAGTTTGGTGCAAAAGTAATTACGGTTTTTGGCATTAAAAGCAATGGCAAAAACTGCAATTGCTTTTGCACCAACCTAATATGGTGGTATGCGTTGATCTCTGTGTGTTTATTCCCATGAGCCTGTAGTCAATTATTGTCAGCAAGTTCTAGGCTTGTCTCAAATCTGAGACAAAAATTAAGGATGATCTGTGTATTCAAGCTTAGGGCAGAATAAGTGAGAAGAGAGTAGCAGAATCCCACAGTGCAGTACAGTAGAAATAGGAATCAGCCAGAGAAGGATCGGTAGATGGAAAATTTCTGGAGAAGGATTCAGACAAGAGGTCCAGCCACTCCCTCTCCAGGTGGATGTTCTCCCAGTACTGCCAAGCCTGGAGGAGCTGCGTTTTATTTTATTAGAGAAACAGTCATTTCTTTATAAAAGTAAACAAAAGAAGCATATCACAGAATCTCTTAATGCTATAAGTACTAAATGCTATGAAAAATAAAGGATTAAGAGCTCACAACACATCAGACTAATTAGGCATCACATCATGAGAAAGGTAGCATTTTCAGATGCATCTTAATGAGGACAAACCAGGCAATGGAATATGCCAAGTGAAGGAAAGTTGAGAAGAAGCACATAGTATGGTTGGTGCATAGGAGATACGTGAGAAAGGAGAGAGATACAGAAAACTAGGTTGAGGACAAATTGGGCAAGGCTACAAGTACCAAACTGAGGTGTTTGGTGGTTTTTCTTTTTTTTTAATTTAGTTGGTAATGAGCAGTTACTTATTGTTTTTTGAGAAAGTTTATAACATTCGTGGGCTAAGTTTTAGGAACATAAATCTAGTGGCAGTATTTACATGGTTACTTGGTAGGCAAGATTCTAAAGTGATTCCCAGTGACCCATGATCTTGTACGATCCCCTCCATTTTGAATGTTGGAGGAGACTATGAATATGATGGCATATTATATGATTCACTTATGTTAAATGGAAAAGTTGGCTTTAAGAATGGGACGTTATCCTTGGCAGACCTCACTTCAGACATGCTCTTTACAAAGATGGGGTTTCTTTCTGGAGAAAGAAATTAGAAGTACTGTATTCAACATGCAAAAAATTATTTGTTACTGCTTTTAATATGGAGGGGGAACAAACAGAAAAAATGGCAAGTGGCTTCTAGTAGCTGATAACAAGCCCTGGCTAAAAGCCAGTAAGAATATGGAACCGCGGTCCTACAATTACATATAAGGAATTTGATTCTGCAAAAACCTGAATAAGCTTGGTGGAGGATTTCTACCCAGAGCCTTCCGATAAGAATACCACCTGGCCAACACATTGAATGTGACATCCTGAGCAGAGAACGTGGCTGAGCCCCACTGAACTTCTAACCTACAGAATGGTGAGATAATAATTGGGTGTTGTTTTAAGCCTCTAAGTTTGTAGTAATTTGTTATGCAGCAATAGAAATCAGATTCATCTGGAGTGGGGAAAAACTGGAAGCTATTTAGGAGACTAAAAACATAGCCTAGATTAAAATAAATTAATAACTAAATGAAAGGAGTTGCAATAGAAATAAAGAGAATAAATGAAAGAAATAACAGAGATAGCCTCTATATGATTTAGCAATTAATTTATGTTGCTCAGAGAGAAGGAGAAGGTGAATAGAAGTCTAAGACTTGGAACGTGGATGGCTAAAAGGATAAGAGTGCCAACATAAAGGTTTGGAAACCAAGAATATAATTAAGATGGATGACCAGTTTCATTTTAGATGCACTGAATTTATGATATCAACAGGATAAACACAGTTTATAAAAACTGGGGCGGGGGGAGCTGAAATACTGTAGAGACTTAAGGTTAGAAATACTTGTGGAGTTATTGGTAACTAAATACAAGCATATAACTCAAGTGAGTTAACTAAAGAAATAATGGAGAGAAAGATTGGTATGAATTTGGAAGAGGACCCCAGAAGAAAGACTTCTCCCACCTAAGTGTAGATGATATTCTTTCTCTGTCTGAAATAGCCTATCTAAAATACCCCCGGAAAACCACCTACTTTGCTTTTAAATCTCAGTTCAACTACCATCTCTCCCATGCAGCACTCTCTGCCTTACTCAGCCAGGGGAAAAAAAAATACCTTTAAGTTTTTCAAGTGGTTATTCCTATCTCCCAAGTAGACTAAGTTTTCAGGGGACAGGAAGCATTTCATTTTATCTTTGTATTCTCAACATGAAATTGTCAAGAACACAATAGATACTAAATATGTATTGAGTGAATGAATCAAGGATGGGAGTAATAAAAAAGAGGAAGGAACCAAAACTTCACAACTGCTAATATAGTCTTACATAAGTATTCAATAATAATGGTTGATGGGAAGTTTTTAGAAAATAAATGTATATTACTCAAGAATATCAATAAAGACAAGCATAATACACATACATTCATACATACACACATAGGGTTTTTATAGTCAAAAGTAGAGTTTAATGCAACAGAATCCACTAATCCACTAATCTGCTGTTGTTTTCTGTTTTAGAAATGCTTTCCTTTAACTCTCCTTGTGTTTGGGAAAAAAGATTGATAAGTATCCTCTGATTCAGTAGTTGGCTATAACAGTCACAACCTCTAACATAAAATAGGAAAGACCTATTATTTAAAAATTAAAACAACTCTTAATTAATGCAACACAACAGAGAGATCAAATACAAGGCACGTATACTACCAATATGTTCAATTCAGTTCCTCCTGAAAAGCTGCAAATCCTCCATACATCAAGGAAACCAGATGCTCAGCCAGAAATATGAATCCTATGATTTAAACCATTTGAGTGAAGGCATCTCAAGATGCCAGCATTCTGAAACAATTTAATCCATCCAGAGCTGGGATTCTGCAGCCTTTGATAAAAGAAACACTGTGCTACTGTCTTGAATATCACAAGATGGCATCTCCAGGTGTGCTGATGAGGGAATTGTTTTTTTCCCATTTAATTTGCTTTCAATTCAATTTCCCAAGAAGTCATTCCAAGAGTCTGGGAGGGGTGCCATTTATTTGTCATTGCTGGACATGCTGCTGCTGGCTTCATCCATTTCATCCATTGCTCCCTCTTCCTGGATGTATGTTAGTTGCAAATGAGTTATTATAAGTCCAAAATTTGGTTGCTACTAGTGTTCTCTGGTTTGCTGGCTCCCATATCCATATTCTGTTCTAGTCTGGAATTACAGCTGGGAATCTCTGTTAGGGATTATTCTACTTGCTCATCATCCCCTGTTACTATGATTATTCTGAATGACATGGCTGGTCATTAAAATATAAAGATGGGTATGCCTTGATCTCTGCCTTAGACAAAAACAGACAAGCGATTCTCTTAGGTCTCAGCCGACTCTTTTTAAGCATTTGCTATGTGCTAGGCACTCTGCTAATCTCTTGAAATGGACTATCCAATTATTCTTTACTACAACCCTGTGAGATGGCACTCTTATTTTATGCTTATGGCTTAAATAACAGATTGGAGGTGCAGCAAAGGGAAGGGAGCCATTGTAGACATGCTGTCAGTCTTCAGTATCTATGAATGAAGAATCATGTGGAGTACAGAGTGGCAAATGTTGTGACAGAAATATGCACTGTAGCTAAAGGGAGGGAAGTCTCAAAGATGGTTTCAAAGGGGAAGAGGATGAACTTCTTTGGCAAGGAGGACTGGAGCTGAGGGGGACCCAGAACTATATATTTAAAGGCCAGAGGTGACCACCAAAGCAGAAGAACTGAAAAAGAATTTTCTTCTGGATTTGGCATTTTCCAAGGGCAGAGTAAAGATGTCAGGAACGCTTGAGGCAGGCCTAGAAAGAGGAGGCAGCTGACAGAACTGAGAAAGGGCAGAAAGGAATGGAAAAACAACCAATAGTTCACAGGGAAAAAATCAAAGAGAGAGTTTCCAGGGCCTATTGAATTTTGCAATTAGATCTTCATTATTAATCACAAAAGCTATTATGTTCTTTATGCCAAGCAAAGATCAAACACATGATCTCATTTAATCCTCACAACTACTCTTGAAATATGTGTTATTATCTGCAGAACAGTTCCCGGGGTGGCTAAGGGCAAAATCCAAACCGCAGTGGGTTAAGAAGTGACTGAGTGGGGAGAATGTAGTCTGGATTTGGGATAAATTTAGGATAGAAAGGGATTGAGCCCCTATTAAAGGCTAGTGAGTGCGCCAGTCACTTTAGCACTGCTTTCTAATGTCATCCAAACAAAACTCTAAAAGGAATGTGTTGTTATTCACCATCAAAGAAGAAACTCAGATCTGGAGACATGGTGTGACTCCAGGAGCCTATCTTCTTTTCGATCAACTCCATTGCCCTACAGAGGGGAAGAGGGATAAATGCAATAGACATTGACTGAAGATTTTACTGCATATGGTCAAGAACTGCACTAAACATTTACATGGATTGCACACTGAAACTTCAGTTTAAATGCTAATTTCACTATTAATAGTGTGGTTATCTGGCCTGAGGCCAGAAATCAGACTCCCTGAATTTGGATCTCAGTTCTGTCACTTACTATGTATCCTTTTGCCTCAGTTTCCTCATCTGTAAAATGGGTTTTGCTGTGAAAATTATTTGGTAATATACTTGAAATATAAATAACAAGGCATGTCTAGAGCATAAGTGTGGAGAAAAATGTTAGCTCACAGTTGTTTTTTGTTTGTTTGTTTGTTTTTTGTTTTGAGACAAAGTTTGCTCTGTCACCCAGTCTGGAGTGCAGTGGCACAATCTCGGCTCACTGCAACCTCCATCTCCTGGATTCAAGCCATTCTCTTGCCGCAGCCTTCCCAGTAGCTGGGATTACATGTGCGCACCACCACGCCCAGCTAATTTTTGTATTTTTAGTAGAGATGAGGTTTCACCATGTTGGCAAGGCTGGTCTCGAACTCCTGACTTCGTGATCCACCCGCTTTGGCCTTCCAAAGTGCTGGGATTACAGGCCTGAGCCACTGCGCCAGGCTGCTCATAGTTTAATCTCCATTGTACAGCCATGACAAGAGAGAATTAGGAAGACAAAGCTAGCGACTCTTACATTCTGTTCCGGACTCCGGGATCTTCCACACACCCTTGTTTTTAGCCACCACTGCACCATCCTGCTGGGAAACCTTTTGGGGACCTGTAGGAAGGAAACCTTTGGGGGAAGCTGTAGGTGGGGTTGTGGTGTGTTTGCTTGTTTTCTTATTTGTTTTTAACATGATATTGACTCGCACATATTTCTCACCTCGAGAGAAGATGATGCGGGAGAGAGGGGCGTTATGATGGGTATGCTCTCAGAAAGACAGGAAGCTATGATGACGGGCTGCAGGTGCAGGGGCCCGCAGTGTCCGTCAGAAGAGGCTCGGGAAAGTAAGCGAGAATGGTGTTCACGTTGTGACTTTGTTTGGAATCATAAGACCGAAAAGCCAGGAAGAAGTTCTGTTTTCCTCTGCCCTCTTGCTAGCCACCACACAGCCACTGTTCTTGGAGAATTAAAAAAAAAAACAAACAAAAACAAAACAAAACAAAACAAAAAAACCGTCCCTCCTACCATTTCTTTAGTCCTGAATCTCCTTTTCCCTTCCTCTCCCCAGCCATCCCCACCCCTACTTCCTCTTCTCTCCCTCCCGCTGCCAGTTCTCTGGTTACTCCCCCCCTCCCTTGCTTCTATCCCAGCCTGGTGCAAGCTAAGAGGGCGAGGACGAGGGAGTGGGAGAGATTGGCTGAGGACTCTACAGATCAGCTAGAGAGCGAAAGAACTAAGTCTCTCTCTCTCATACACACACACACACGCACACACGCGCGCGCGCGCGCGCACACACACACACACGTACACTAAAAAACTCGGACCAGCCGCGCCGCAGCTGCTCCAATCCCTGGAAAAGGCAATCGAGCGCCCTCCGGACCGCTGCGCACAGCCCCGGCTCCGACCTGGCGCCCAAAACAGAGCTAGTCCTAGTCCCTCGCGCGGCCAGTTTGGCCGGGTGTTCCCAAAAATAAAGCGAGGAGGGAAGGTACAGACAGATCTTGAAAACACCCGGGCCACACACGCCGCGACCTACAGCTCTTTCTCAGCGTTGGAGTGGAGACGGCGCCCGCAGCGCCCTGCGCGGGTGAGGTCCGCGCAGCTGCTGGGGAAGAGCCCACCTGTCAGGCTGCGCTGGGTCAGCGCAGCAAGTGGGGCTGGCCGCTATCTCGCTGCACCCGGCCGCGTCCCGGGCTCCGTGCGCCCTCGCCCCAGCTGGTTTGGAGTTCAACCCTCGGCTCCGCCGCCGGCTCCTTGCGCCTTCGGAGTGTCCCGCAGCGACGCCGGGAGCCGACGCGCCGCGCGGGTACCTAGCCATGGCTGGGGCGAGCAGGCTGCTCTTTCTGTGGCTGGGCTGCTTCTGCGTGAGCCTGGCGCAGGGAGAGAGACCGAAGCCACCTTTCCCGGAGCTCCGCAAAGCTGTGCCAGGTGACCGCACGGCAGGTGGTGGCCCGGACTCCGAGCTGCAGCCGCAAGACAAGGTCTCTGAACACATGCTGCGGCTCTATGACAGGTACAGCACGGTCCAGGCGGCCCGGACACCGGGCTCCCTGGAGGGAGGCTCGCAGCCCTGGCGCCCTCGGCTCCTGCGCGAAGGCAACACGGTTCGCAGCTTTCGGGCGGCAGCAGCAGGTGAGTGCGCGAGGTGAGACTCCCTTCCCGCGGTCCCGCCCCAGCTTTCTCCCGGGACCCCCCACAGCTTCCTTGTCTGCCCCTTGCTTGGTGGCGCTGCCTAGGGACCTTTCTCCGCCCTCCTCAGCTGCCCTCTGGATTCCTCCGTCCAGTCACACCCCGCGTGTCGCCAGCTGCATCTCCTGTAAGCCCAGTTTTCAAATCCAAAGTGAGAGGGGGAAATAGAATGAAGGCGCGGAGCAGTGGAGGGGTAGGCTGGAGGAGCTTCGTGGAAAAAGGGAAGGGGCGACACCCCATGCCTGTGAGGCCTCCTGCCCTGAGTGACTGGAGCACCTCTAGGGTACCTTATTCTGTTGATTCCTAAATCGGCCAGCGGAAATTCCTTTGGACTGGGCTTTAGCCATGTTTACTAAGAGGCAGATGCCATTTTATGCCAATGCCAGGACCCGAGAGAAATCATACTTGAATAAGACGCCTTCCCCTCTCCTTTTCTCCTTCCCCAGTCGCTTCTCCAGATATTGCACCCGCTCCTAATTCGCGCCCTTTGTGTTACTGTACTATATTTGACACTTTACTTGATAGTTCCTTAGTGGCAAAAAAAAAAAAAAAAAAAAAAAAAACAGGTGCTTGGGTGTTTCGATTATTAAAACGCATCTGGGTAAACAGGGGTTGTACCATCCATCCTGGGAGGAGCTGGGAGACAAGGGGAGGGAGCAACCCTGGATGTAAACACCTCTTGGAATCTGCCCAAGAAAATCTGCTCATCCCATTTTTCAGCACAGATCACTTCGGACTGAAATTCATGGCTTAACAAGGTTTCTCCTAGCCCCTGTGGTGAAGGGAATAACTTATGCTAACAGCCTCCCTCCCTTGTGTTAACAGCTTGAGGGAAAGCTTCCTGGACACTAACTCTGTTTTTATGCTTTGAGGATTCACCAGGCTTTTTTGTTCACTACATTCATGATAAGGGGAAATGTAACTGCAAAGCCTGTCTTCAGTGAACAGTTGAACAATAGCCAAGAATCTTCAAGAAAATGAGGCCATGCCTCAGTCAATACTGTCAGAATCACTAGAAAGAAATCTCCCAAAGTTTTGATATGCAAGACTCCTGGAAAAAGGGAAAACTAAGGCATTCATCAAGGAAAGCCCTGCATTGTCTGTGTAAATATATTCTAGAGCTTACAGGCATGATGACATTTACAATAGATGTGAATTATGCTTCCTAATACAGAAGTCTTTAGCTAGAGACTGAACTGAACCAGATTTTACTTTCTTCTTAAAACCATGAGCATGATCTGTGAGGAGAGCGCCACCAGTAAGGAAAAAGAAACCTGCTCTGTGTTATCCACAGTATCCTAGCCATTGGAGGAGGCTGTCCTGACAGCTGACTACACCAGTGAATACTCTGTTTACTTTAGTGCAACTCTAGGGGCATAACTCAGTGAGTAACTCATGTGGGAGTTGCAAGGATTGAAAGGAAGTTGGGTGAGCTAGGCAGGTGGCAAAAATGAAGGTACTCAAATGACTCTTATCTTGATATTTGTTTTCTTGGTTATATTGCTAGGGAGTAGCTGAGGCCCCTAAGATAAAAAACAATATGTTTGGGATTAACAAGTTTCATTTATAGAATGAACCACATGGTTTGGAGGTAGAATTTGAATTTGTTTCATTCACGTATTGTATAGCTTTTATTTGTTTTAGGCCAAGTTAACCATGGATAAAGATTTTAACAACTCAGGCACCATATTCTTTTTGGCTTCAACTCATTCCTTGCAGTATTCCAGAGTGTGCCTTATCAGCCTCACTGTAGTCTCATAGCATCAAATAATAAACTCTGATATGGAGGCCAGACATTCCCTTGAAACGATGAGTTGCAGCTTGATGCATATATACAAGGCTGTGTGCCCTGATAAGAAAAGTAATCCCTTTAGCATCCTAGAGACTGTCTTAATGACTTATTCATCAAATGTAGACACTGGTTTTTGTGGAAGCTTAAGTGTCATGTTACCTCATTGAGGCTCCTGGTGAGGTGGTTCGTGTTGGGCCCCTTCCAAGAGTGTTTAGTTACTAACACACTAAAAAGACTATTATAAGGCAGTTCTGGCTCTAATAAGGCAGGACTCTAGGAAGGTGCTAAGGTTTTCATGTGTGTCCCTCTCTCGTCATCCATATCAGCATTTCCATAACACCCTTTCACCTTGTGACATATGTTCCCTTGTAGGTGAAAGATGCTGTCTAAATTAATATAGTAGATATGTTTTCCAGTCCAGAGTTTTTAAGTTTTAGAACATATGGGTTTCTCTGTACTGAAGACGTTAGAAATTTTAATGGAAGATCAGGTGGTGTGCTGTGTATGGGGCAGCTGCTGATCCGGCAGCCTCTGAGTGCTTATTCAGGCTGAGTTATAGCTTTAGAGTCCTGTTTGTGCCTTGGTACATACCTGATTAAAATTATTTATTGTTCTAAACCTAGAATATCTTCGATTGAAATTTAGCTGCTGTGGTCTCCCTCTGATTACTTTCTACTTAAACCATTAC
Organism: Homo sapiens; assembly: GCF_000001405.40. Lineage (NCBI taxonomy): Eukaryota > Metazoa > Chordata > Mammalia > Primates > Hominidae > Homo > Homo sapiens. The sequence continues at coordinate 81,034,138 of NC_000004.12, forward strand.
TTGATGGTGGGTGGCATTCATCCTAAATACACTTTCTGCTAAACCCTTTTCTCCTCCCTGAATGCTATGTAGTTGGTGTGCCAAAACCGTAAGTTTGGAGTGCTTGTAAGTTTTTTTGTCATGTGGAAGGGTTTACATAAAGATAGGTTTTATCTTTCCCTTTGCAAAAGGTAATTCACAAAATCTATTAGTGACAGAGAAGGTCAGCTTCATAAAAATACACCATGTGAAGGAAGACAGAAGGATATGAAATTAGCATTTATTTTGATTTTGGTTTAAGTTGTCTCTGGCTACTATATGATAAAGAAGAATATTTTACATGAATTTTTCTTCTGTCTTGATCTTTTAAGATACTTTAGGATCATCACTTTCTCATGACTCCCATAGTCACTTAATCTTCCTTTTCTTAATGACAAATATAATCTCTTTAGGAAAAACAATTAAAGCACACATGTTGTTAGGAAACTTTCACTATTCATGACATGCACCCACCAAAATAGCACATTTTAGTGAGTACTTATCACCTTTTAAAAAATCTCACATACTTCATAGATTTAAAAAAATAACTGAGGCAATCCAGCCCCACAAGTGAATATTTTCCTGCAATGAGGAAGAGGAGATTCTTTCCTCCTATGACCAAAGTACTTTTAAGATAAGTAATTATAATATTGAAATGTTTCTGAAGTATAAGGCTAAAATATAAGGCTTCGGCAAAGATAGTATATAACTAAGTGTTGAATGATCATCCCAATAGGAGCCATTCCTTCAAAATATATGGAACCAGTGGGAAAACATCATTTTTGATAGGTTTGATGCTAAGGGACTAGAAAAACTATTAAAATGTAGTTACCTTGAAGTGCCTGGCACCTAGAAACTAGGCTTGAAATTTAAAAGTACTTGGATAATCTGATGTTTTCATTTAAAGGACAATAGTACATCTGGGGAAGAGGAGATGGGTGTGCAGCTGCTTTGAATTACACACTACTCTGAATACATGATAGCCTTTAATGAAGTTTTTACTGTAACAAGCAAGACAGCTTCATAATCTCTGACATTTAAAACATCATAATGTCATGAATTCTTCATTATTCATGCTAATGCAAAGGAGAAAGGGAATGAATTACATATAAAAAAATTTAAGTTTAACTTTGTTGTTTAGCTAGAAACACTTGAAGAGACCAAGTGTTTCATTGACCATGGGGGTCAATGAAAAAAAAATCTCCTAAGCAAATAATTCACTCAAGGAATATTTGTACACTAGAAATAGATAAATAATTCAGAATGAATTAGAAGGTTACATACATTTTACCTAAGTAGTGGAAGCTCGTAAGCATTTGATTGAATGAGTTCAGATTTTTCTAAAAATTAAATAGGGACATGAATATCAAATCTGCTTTTAAGCATTTTTGCATCATATAATTTTATATTTGGAAGAAGCATTCAAGAAAACAAGTCCTTCCTTTAATGGAAGCAGAAGCAAGTACTATGATGTATTTGCCAGATAATTTTTCAAACATACTGAGCTCATCTCAAAACCTATTATTTTTAATAGCCAAATCTAATTTTGTAGGAGAACATGTCACAAAAACAGGTCTTTGCAAGATGTTAACAGGTATTATATAAAATTGGGCCTCATGGTCAAACTTGGAAAACGTGATCAATTTTCTTTGCTGTGGGACCTTTCAAGACCTTTAAATGCTAATGAGTCCCCATAAAAGGCGAATACTTTCTCCTGGAGAAAGCATTTTACAGAAATGTCCTTCTAAGATGTCTAGTTGGGAAAACAGTGGTTCAACGGAACACTGTCTCATTTTTCATTTCCCATGCAGTACCTATCTCAGTATGTTAACTTATATTATTACATTTTGGACTTGGGTTCAATTGGCATTGTACCATCTTCCTGCTTTTATGTCATAAACGTCTCTGAATGTAATTTTAGATATCTTCTGTCATTAAATTTTATTTTTTCCTATATCTTTATGAGTTCTCCTTCATTATTTTCATCTATAAGATTAATATTCATTGTTTCACACAGGTATTATGCTTTAAAAAGAAAAGCTAGTTTATTTGTGGAAAAATTCACTAATGATCATATATATCACTTTATTAATGTTTTATCACCATTACTACCTTGATGAAAGACACATTTACTTAAGATGTCAATCAAATTCCTTATATTATAAATCCCCAGTGTTTGTTATATTTAATAGGCATAATAAAAATATCACACCTATCAAAAAACCTTATGAAAATGCTTGAGCAACTTGTTATATATTTTCTTTTGGCTAGTCAGGATTTTTGTGCTTCAGTAACAGAACATCTCTCCCCAAATTTTGATGATTCTCCCATATGCTAAATTTGTATATACTAATAATCAGTTAGTGTCTTAATGTCTTTATTTTGGGGGTAGTAGTGGAAAGACATTTGGCATCACAAATAACCTTAAGTCGGACTTTTCTATGCCATGTTTCAGTTGAGTAAATTTTTATGATTATGTTATGAATCCATGAAAATAGAATTTGTAATAGAAATATTGACTTTATATTAATCAAGTAATACAAGTATACCTGGATCATATCTACTTTTGACAGTAGTGAAAGATGAAATGTAACCCAAAAAGCTTTCATATATGGAATATATGTAACAGCCAATAAAATTACTAGTTTATCTACATGTTAGCAGTGGTTGTGTCTTAGCATGATGGCATATACAGCAGTACTCCTGGATAACACACATTTTAAGGGATGATACTTTAAAGGCATGAATTCCTCTTTGTTTATCTAAAACATCAGCATGTAGATCATAGAATCAAATGACCACGGTGGTTTTATTGACTCTTTCAATGATCTATATTTCTTTAAAAGCCATCTTTTCATGGCTATAGAACCATGGTAAATGCAGTACCTTGATTGTATTTGGGCATACCATGAATATGTGTGTGTGCAAAATGATCTCACTTTATTACTAGCTTCAGTTAGTTCTTTTTACTTTACTAAGGTACTGTTAAATATCTCTTTTATAAAATAATTACATTCAATAAATTTAAAAATATAAGGTTGTTTGTTCAGCCCCCTCATTTTACAGTTAAACCAACTGTCCAACATACTATTATTTGCTTTTCCTTCAAAAACCTTTCTCTTTAGTTGCATGAAATTAATTTAAAGATGAATTAAGGGTAATTGCTGTACTTGGTGTTAAGTGAAATGGTTTTCAAGTAGAGAAAAGATTATTAGTGTTTTGTTTTTTCTATTACCTAAAGCTAAGTGTTAGGTGATCTAACTTCCATGGTTGGCTGAACCGCTAAGAAGTAAAGTCATCTAATATTGCTATTCTCAGTTTCTTCATCTATCAAATGGGTTAAGTTATACCTCCTGTGCCTGTCTCACAGAAAGATGGTGAAACTCAATTGACAAAGTGAATGCAAAGATGCTTTAAAAGTTTTGAAGTCCTATATAAATTAGGTATTCTAACATTCTTAATATTTTGAGATTATTTCCCTCTGGCTTTCCACAAAGCATTAAACATATCTCAAATGTTGATAATATGTACTTGTCTGTAGCACAGATGATGATGTAAAAATAGTTAGTAATCATCTGTGCAATCTATGATATCCCAAACCTATATTCAACAAATGTACTATTTTCTGTCCTGACCATGGTGGCTGAGGGGTGTAGGGTTATGCTTTTTTAGAGAGATTTCTTGAAGTTAATTGTTCTCAAAGTATAGTTCGTGGACTAGCTGCATCAGTATTACTTAGAACCTTGTTAGAAATTCTCTAGCCCATACTAGACCCGCGGAATCAAACTCTGGTGACGGAGCTCAGAAATATGTGTTTTAAAAAGCCATCTACAAGATTCTGATCCATATTTGAGAAACACTGCTCTAAGCTTCTGTCCCTAGAGTTTTGAGTATTTTATATCAAAACCAGCCTCTTAAAATCTAGAATTGATTATCATGTTATTCCTGATCTCATCTGGCCCTTTTAGTGGGCCTATCCATAAACAAATGGTTTATTGACTTATATAATGGTAAGCTTTTTAAAATATATACCTTAGAAGGTATATTACTGCCTTTATGATGGTTTTGCCATAAAGAAGTCTTCAAAATAAGTTAATCAAGACTGCTTACCCTTCACTCATAGCTGCAGAGAGTTTATGATATAATAAATTTGCTAGAAGAAAAATATGGTATGAGCAGGGGCCTACAAAGCAAGTCCCTGGAGGACATGGAGTCTATCTCAATTCATCTTTGTGTTCTGAGGACCTAGCACAGTTTGCCATGTAGTTGACACTCACTAAATACTTCAGTTGAGTTGAGTTACATATTCAGGAGAAAAGATGAGATAGTTCAAAAGCTATCAGCCAGGCAAATATCCTTTAAAAATAAACTTGCCTTGAAGGAATTTCTTATGGGGCATTTTACCATTTATATATTAAATGGCAATACTATTCTACTTCATATACAATGATTATAATAATTCTTTTCTAATGAACTGAAAGGAAATATCATATGGTATTTATACCCAAGAAGGGCTCTTGCTGATTTTGGGAACTTGAAATTACTTGAAAGTTTTTATGCTTTGGTGTTAAGTAGGAAACACTTTTAAATCTGTTAAGTTTAGAGAGTTGTTCATTCAACACACCTAACAAATACCTTTTGGGACTTAAGTGCTCCAGGCTGTGTGAAGTACTAGGAATTCAAAGATCTATAGAACATAGGTCTGCCCTCTCAGCACTCACAGTCTAGGAATGCCTTTGGGCAGAGGCTAAGAGTAGATAAACTGATTAATGAACATTTTACTATTCTAGAAAAACATACATCATATCATCTTTGGCTGTTTTTACTTTGGACATAGAGAATGGTTGTTTTGAGGTCCCATAAAGCACAGTCATTTGACTGGGACTATGAAGGAGAAACACAATTCTATGACTTTGTGTTCTTTGTAGAATTCTTCCTTTTGCCTGTGCCTGAAAGTTAAAGGCAGCACAGGGATGCTGCAATCTTGACTAAGTAATCTGCAGCAAATATTCAGCCAGTGACTGAGGGTGGATGTGTCCCTGTCCTAGGCACCCCTGGCATTTCTAGCAGCTGTATTTTGTTTGAAGAAAGAAGTTGGGGCAGCGGGAGGTGGTTGTTCTTTGTCACATATTTTCTGTATGACTAAAATGTTTTCCCTGCTTCCTGGGGATTTAGCTAATCATCAAGATTTCATTTAGTCTATTTGTTTTAAAATCAGACTTTACATAGAAAGCTTTCCATTGTATGTTCTAATTCCCCTTGCAAACGTTCTGTGTGGGCCAGCACAAAGGTGAACTTCCCCTTACCACTCCCTGGACACAGCCTCAGCTACTCCTGGAGAGGCACTGAAGTGTTGCAATAGCATGGCTGGCCTTAAGTCCCGAAGTCAGAACCCGACTTCCTGAAATGAGTCCTTGGTTTCATCAGGTTCAAGTGCTTTGTTTTTAGATAAAAACAGAAATAAATCTTCTACCTTTATATAATAATCAAACTCCTTTTAAAACGCCTATCTGACTTTCTCTCCAAAGTCAATTGCTAGCTAGCTTGCTAACTCCTAGGGTCCTTCATGTTTGCATTTCTCTAATGAGTAGGTTGAACTAAATTTGCTCATGCATATAAAAAAAGCTTTAGGGTCAAGCCCTGTGTTGGAGGCTGAAGAGTCTGATATAATTTAGAGCCTTGTCTTTAAGGAACTTATGGCCTTAAGAAGGAGCAAAGGTGTAATGAAAATGGTAATAGAGGCAGGATCCTAGCCAAGGAAATGGGTTGTCATGACAAGCTTGCATCCAGGAATGGTATCTCTGCCTTGCCTTAAAAAACAAATCTGGATTATCAAGGAGAAAAATCGTGGGTAGAGACATTGCAGAGAGAAGCAGCAACAGGTGCAAAGTCCCAACAAGTGTGTAAAAGAGAGTATAGCTTGTTCAGAAACTCACCTGACTTCCAACCTCCTTTTCAATTCTCAGGTGTTAAAACTCTAGAAAATTCAAAATATAAGATTATAATGCTAATGGTAAACCCTAACTAGGCTGCAATAAATACATTCCCATGTGCCAGTGCCAGCAAACAGTAAGAAAATAGCACCACCTATTGGTAGTCACATTTTGGCATCAAAATATTTCTTTGGGGAAAGCTAGAAAACAAAGCCGGTTATAGTTACTTGCAAGGGATGAGACGTTCTCTCGTTCACTTTCACACTCTACTCTACCATAAAAACATCCTCCTGTAATAGTCTTGACTTACCTCCAGTTGCCCCAGTCCCACAGATGGATCTCACTAAGTAAAACAGTTTGAAAGTCATGACTTATATTGGCTTGGATTTGGCCTCCATTTAACTATCACCGTTAGACTGCATTCTCATCTTTGACACTGGAAAGAAAAACCCTGATCTCTCCACAGTCCCTTAAATATTGGAAAATAATTCTCATATCATTGCTAAACTTTTTTTTCTCCCTCCAGGCAATGTTTTCTTATTTATTCAACTCAAATCTATGAGATAGTTTCCAGACCCCTCAACATCTGGGTTACTTTCCAAGTTGCTCTCTTCTGCATTAATAAACTGGTTACAATGAGAGCACCCAAAATGAGGCATGCAATTCCAGATATATTTAGATGATCAGTGTAGCATACAATTAATATTTTCTAGTACCGAATACTATCCACAGCCTAAAAACGCATAAGTATTTTTTGTAACCTGAAAAAATCCACCCTTTTTTTTATCATTATTATATCGGTTTGCTCTTATTAATCAGGAAGTACACTTCAGGTTTTTGATTCAATCATTCCCAATAGATAAGTATCTGAATATTTCAGAAGACTAGAAAAGGTGAATATTAAGGTATTTTTTATTTACTGATATTCAAACGTAGATATTTGTGTGCATAGATAAAGCTGTGCTACAACTCATGGGGAAGAGAGAGACAATGCAAATCTTCTGTTCATAAGTATGGAAAGTTACTCACCTTACAAGTTAATATAAAATCTAAAAAGTAAAAGAGCATGAAAGTAATTGAGTAGATATTATCATGCACTGCTATTTGCAGGAAGCCGTTTACCTCACTCTTATTTACTTCTCTATATACATTCACTTGACCCCATGCTGCTCGCTTATTACAATTTTTTTCATCCATTGTAAATGCTCAGCAACTATTTGTTAAGTTGCTTTGGAGAGAAGATCATTAACTTACACAAAAATAAAGTGTTTTAGAATCAGAGAAGGCAAAAATAAAGTATGGGTTAGAAAAGTCAAAGTCAATGAATGCTTTGTGAAATGGCTGATAATTCTAGCTTATTGTTTTGCTTCTTGGTTTTTTTTAAACCCAGGAGGGAGAGGACCTAGAACAGGCAGAGATCCCTAGCCTAGGTGGAAATAACAAGAGCAAACACATCAAGTGTTGGGCATAACATAATGCCTTTGGTTAGCCTTCAGATTGGCCATTCCTTGCTCAACTTGGATGACTTAGACATTCACTAGAACTTCAATTCTATAGAACTACTAGAACTTCAATAACTAAGTTAATTGTAAGTATTTTTATATTTTCTATTTAAAACATTGGCAACATTTCTTTTGCAAAAGCTTCCAGACATACAGCATTGCATACTGCTAGAATGTGTTCCTTCCATCCCCTCACCAAGATTTCTTTCTTCCTTCATCTTTAAAAGTCTGGTCCAAAGATTACTTCCTACCTGTGTGTTTCTTTGCCTCTACCTGGGTAAAGTTAATGGCTCCCAATTCTGCTCCAAGCATAGCTAACACCTTCGGCAGCTTGTATTATCATCATGGCATAGTCTTTTTTTTTTCCTTTCCATTTTGACTACAAAACTAGTGATTATTCTAGACCACAACCATCCAATAGAGATATAAGGGGAGCCACAAATGTTAGTCACATATGTAATTTAAAAATTTTAGTAGCCACATTTCAAAGTGTGAAAAGCAACAAGTGAGATTAATTTTAATAATATATTTAATGCAATATAGTTCAATAAAGTCACTTTAACACACACTGGCTTAATATAAAATGTATTGCTACGATATCTTATATTCATTTTCTTACCAAGTCTTCAAAATTCAGTATGTATTTTATACTTACAGCACATCTCAATTTGAATGTAAGTGGCTACATACTATCATACTGGAAACCACAGTTCTAGTTAGCTAACATTTATTGAATACTTTCTGTGTGCTTTATGTGCCTTCTCTCAATTAATCCTCGCAACAACTCTATAGTTGCTACTACTAGACCCACTTTATAGATAAGCACACCAAAACTTAAAGAGCTTAGGTTATTTGTCTGAGGGCTGCTATTGGTTGTAGTGAAATTGCAACTGGACCAACAGGCTTTGACTTCATAAGAAAGCACTGGTTTAAAATGAGAGCCATTGGAAGAGGCAGTAAGACAGATTCTGAGACTTTTACAAAACGATGTTGTAGATTAGAC